>NC_000006.12:17787272-17938787 GCF_000001405.40 Homo sapiens | reverse complement strand
TCAGTTCCAAGTTGATGATTTAAGGAAATCCTCCATGTACAGGAAGAAAATGGAGGAAAGAGATTTGTAAGTACCATGTTGAATCCATTATAGTTCAGAAAACGAAATACTAGATTCTGACATTTCAGTGAGATTTAGTTGTCAAATTTCTGGAAGGATATTTAAAAGTTCATGCTTCTTTATTCTTTATAAGAAGTTTGTTTTAGATCAAGTCATAAGCATATGTTTCCAGGCTGCCGCAATATAATAAGCCCAATTCTTCGTTAGGTGAGAAATTAGACTGGGCAACTGGAGAGGGTAGATGGTGTCCCCGTCTTTCAGGACCGTTCTATCTTCATGAAGCCCTTCATGATTTCTTCTGCCAGGAGCAATGTCTCCACCCTCCAACCTCCAGGAATGTTTCATACCTTTCTTATTACATTGGTCGTGTTTTGTGTGTGCTTGTTTCATTACCATTCTTTTTTCCTTCCTTCATTTGGTAGGTCTTTGTTGTCTTTGTTGAGCACTTATGTGTCAGACACTATGCTTTCTAATTGGGTTGTAATAAATCATGCATTAAATGTAGCAATTGCCACATTTAATAGCAGTCTAAAGGCCTGGCGTGGTGGCTCATGCCTGTAATCCCAGCACTTTGGGAGGCCTAGGTGAGAAGATCACTTGAGGCCAGGAGTTCAAGACCAGCCTTGGCAACATAGTGAGTCCCCATCTCTACAAAAAAAATTTTAAAATTATGTAATTAGGGCGGGGCACGGTGGCTTATGCCTGTAATCCCAGCACTTTGAGAGGCCGAGGCAGGTGGATTACCTGAGGTCAGGAGTTTGAGACTAACCTGGCCAAATGGTGAAACTTCATCTCTACTAAAAATACAAAACTCAACCGGGCGTGGTGTTGCACGCCTGTGGCCCCAGCTACTTGAGAGGCTGAGGCAGGAGAATTGCTTGAGCCTGGGAGGTGGAGGTTGCGGTGGCCGAAATTGTGCCACTGTACTCCAGCCTGGTCGACAGAGCGAGACTCCGTCTCAAAAAAACAAAAAAAAAAAAACAAAAAAGGAAAGAAATTAGCTGGGCATGGTGGCTTGCACCTGTGGTCCCAGTCTAGGTTCTTGTACATTCTTATATTGGACAATAATAGTTGGATGAATAGTGATGCTTGAGATGCAGATTCCCATCTATAAAACTATAATTTCACTTAGCAAAGACCTCAAATAAATCACTTCAATGCTGTATTTTAAAAGTACCTTTGCTTCCCATTACTACATGAAGAGACTTCTGTAACTTTTTCCAGACGACACAATTAGATTTACTGTGTCTTCAGGACTGTGGAGGAAGTTATTGCAAGTTTTACTCAGACAGTTACAAAAATAAACATATGTAAGGTCGAAGGACTAAAACAATTGGAGATCACTGCCGAGATCAATGCAACCTCAGGAGTTTAATCTATATTGAGGGTGTGCTTTCTCTTGAATTTAGGACCAACTAGCAATAACAAATATTGGAGTTACCAGAGACTTCCAATGGTCTGTTGGTTGCTGTTCTCCACTTGAAAGGGTTGGTTGGTTACTCCCGACTCCAGACTTCCTTTCCATTTATGTATGTATGTGTATATATGTATAGACAGGGTCTCACTATGTCGCCCAGGCTAGAGTGCAGTGACTGCGGTTGAGCTCACTGCAGCCTCAACTTCCCCAGGCTCAGGTGATCCTTCCACATCAGTCTGCAAGTAGCTGAGACTACAGGCACACACCACCACACCAAGCAAATTTTTGTATTTTTTGTGGAGACAGGATTTTGCCAACTTGCCCAGGCTAGTCTGGACCTTCTGGGCTCAAGGGATCTGCCCACCTTGGCCTCCCAAAGTGCTGGGATTATAGGTGTGAGCCACCATGCCCAATCTCCTTTTCCTTTGCCCTAACAAACATTCTGGTTGTTGCTACTCATTTTTTTTTCAAAGGAATGCAAACACACTTAAATGTAACACATAAATCTGCTTTATAGAAATTTCATCATTCATTACATTTTTTTGAATGTTTGTATTATTCGTTAATATTACTTGTGAATACAGTTAGTTGCATTACTGACTTTTATGATGTTTGTTAACTTGTCTGAACCTCATCTATGACCTAGGGCAATAATAGCCACATTATAGGATTACTGTGATTAAATGAAACAATATGTGTAAAATGCTTGGCACCAGCCTGGCACATAATACCTGCAAACTCTCTCTGCCTCCATTTTCTTCTTAAACATTTGCTTGGGACTGTGAAACATACAGTGGGGCACTTGCACATGTGTGTGTGTGAGAGAGATAGAGGGGGAGTGAGAGAGACAGAAAGAGAGATCTTATTAAAATTAGTGGCAATGGGCCAGGTGCAATGGCTCATCCCTGTAATCCCAGCACTTTGGGAGGCCAAGGTGGGCAGATCACCAGCCTGGCCACCATGGTGAAACCCCATCTCTACTAAAAATACAAAAAAAATTAGCCAGGTGTGGTGGCACATATGTGCAATCCCAGCTACTCGGGAGGCTGAGGTGGGATCACTTGAATCCGGGAGGCGGAGGTTGCAGTGAGCCAAGATCCCACCATTGCACTCCCAGTTTGGGTGGAAGAGTAAGACACCGTCTCAAAAAATAAAAATAAAGTTAGGGGCAATGAAGAGAGGCTCAGCCCTCTCCCTGGATGAATTGTTCTGATAATGTCAAATTAACCTGGACTTTGACATAAGTAATATGAAGTTACTTTTAATCATTCATATGTGTTTGAGTTGGTCAGTGTGGGCTTTTTTCTCATTAGCAGAAATGTCTGTCTTTTCGTTAAGAAAAAAAACCTCTGTGCACAGTCAGCATAAGATGAAAGGAGCTATAGTTTAAAGAGAGGAAATATGGCTTTAAGATCTCTTCAAAGCCAATCAAACCATCAGATTTTATCTTAACTCAAGAATCTGGTTGGAAATGAATAATTTTATCTTTTTAAGAGCTTCATTTGTACTAATCAATGTAGTGTACATCAACTTTTGAGTTTTGAAAGTAACTAGCTTTTTGTTATATACTTGTAAAAATTGAAGTGGATAAACATTTTTGTTCACAAGGGTACAGTTTTATGAGACTGTCAAGGGTAGTTCCTCCTTTTCAGTTACGGAGAGAGAGCTACATTTTATGAGAGAATTTAAATTCCCCCTCCTTTTTATGGGAAATTGGTGCTTAGAGGTTCGTGGATCTGTTGGGGCAGTGGTTTTCAACACTGGCTACATGTTAGAGTCACTTGGTTGCTTGTAGAAAAATAGTTTGCACAGCCCCAGCCCCAGAACTGAGCTTCTGATCACTTGGCACAGACAAGAGAGCGCAGGATGTGTCGTTTTTCTCTGAACTGAGCCACTCCAACAGGTGGGGGCCAGGTAGGGACCATAGTGAGGACCCAGCTGCCTGCTGAGCTGAGCCAGGTCTCTGTGGTGCTGAATTTTCCTCTCTGATCCCATGGGGGCTCAGCAGAAATAGCTCAGGGCTTGAGCCTTAAACTGCCTATCCTTAGTAGGAATTATTCTTTGCCAAGGACAGTGTTTCTTCCAAGTCTGATTGTGACATTTATTCAGGACAGCTATAGAAAGCACAGATAAGAAAAAAATATTTCCAATCCCACTCATGAGAGAGAGAACCATTTTGGCCTTTTAGTATTCCTCCCCCTCCCCAGGTAAATGGTGAAAATAACACAACTAGCCAAAAATAAGCTTTTGTTATTAAATATTTATTTTGGGCCAACAAGTGAAGTTGCTGTTGCCCTTAGCGTGGTGGGAAGCCTGGAGCACAGGTGTAAAGGAACTTGCTTCAGGTATTGCAGTAATAAATCAATACAGGATCTGCCTCACTGCAAGGTAAAGGGACCCTTGTGAAACTGATATGTTTGGTTATTACTAGTGAAAATTGAGTCACATTTTACATTAGATGGTGGCCATATTTATGACAAACAGCACAAGAGTATTATTTTTAAGTGTCTTTTTTTTTTTTTTGGAGACAGGGTATTGCTTGGTTGCCCAGGCTGGAGTCAGTGGTGCAGTCATGGCTCACCACAGCCTCTACCTCCTGGGCTCAAGCGATCCTCCCACCTCGGCCTCCCAAGTAGGTGAGACCACAGGGATGTGCCACCATGCCCTGCTAATTTTTAATATTTTTGTAGAGACAGGGTTTCCCTATGTTGCCCAGGCTGGTCTCGAATTTCTGGGCTCAAGTGATCCTCTCTGCCTCTGTCTCCCAGAGTTTTGGGATTACAGGCATGACCCACGGTGCCTGGCCTTCGGCGTCTTTTTATTATGATATTATTGGGGATTCTGTATTTATGATTTTAGAATACTACCTGCTGGAATATTTCATTTGGCTTTTTAGCTTTGGGAGCATGTAGCATAGGGAGAGTTGAAAGTTCCTAATTAGGAATGGGATGGTGTTCAGCCGCTCTCGTCTGCACTTAAGCAACTGGTGTAGGTTTCTTTTCTTGCCTACCTGCAAGTGCACGCTACAAGCCGGGCCCTCTGCTCTGACCTCACACAGGTCACTTAAGAATTTGAAGAAGGCCAATGTCCTGTGGCCATTAGACAGTAGTGTGAGAGATGGAAAGAGGTGCCTTTTGTAATTACGAAGAAACTGTGTCCTGGTTTTTATGAAAATGCTTGTCTTTTTATTCTTTTCAACTTAAATGTTTACTTTTTCGCATTCTTCAAAAAAAAATAAAAGTTGACCCTAACGACACAATTTAGATTGAATTGAGTTATAAAAGGCAGCTTTCTTTATCTGTGAGAGAAAATATAACTTGAAATCCTATGTTTCCATAGTTACATTGCATTGTAATAAGATAAAAGCAGGACTAAGGGATATGTTTGAAAGGCGCTCCAGGAGCTGGCTGAGATAAATGTGATTATTAAGCCACTGTGCCAGGCTTTGGTGGGGAGCTAGGCAGGCAGGTCGAACTAGTTGAAATTTCCCATTAGAAGAAAGGCATTTCTAATGCTTTGTGTTGAAGGTAAAAGTGAACCACAGAAACACACTATTGCTTCTGCATTGGAAGTTTATATTTCACTCATACTTAGAATCAGAACTTGTTAAAGTAGTTGCTTTTGGAACTGTACATAATATTTTTCCCGTGTCAGGAAATCAATAAACTTAAAAAAAAATCTAAATTGTTGGTTTGATCATTCTGATTTCTACTCCTTCTTATGTCCCATTTAGTTAATTATTTTCTTTATTCAAAGAATACTGGAAGGCCAAAACATTGTGGCCCACACCTATAATCCCAGCACTTTGGGAGGCCAAGGCAGAAGGATCACTTGAGTCCAGGAGTTTGAGACCAGCCTGGGCAACATAGTGAGACCTTGTCTCTACAAAAAAAAAAAAAAAAAAAATGAGCTGGGTGTGGTGGTGCGTGCCAGCTACTTGGGAGGCTGAGGCAGGAGTATCACTTGAGCTCAGGAGGTTGAGGCTACAGGGAGCTCAGGAGGTTTCTAACAAAGAAAGATGCAGTTGGTATGCACTCTTTCTTGGTTAAGAGGAGAGATTGCCAACCAGTACATCTTTTATAGGTGCTGTAAAATCATGTTATACCTGCACTTTCTTGGGTTTCCTTTGTTCCCATCACTTGACAACTCTTAAATTCATGTTCTCCAGCCATTCTTTTCATTATTAATAGAAGAGAAACTGGGCCCAGGAAGGTTCAAGGATATGGCCGAGGTCACAGAGCCTTTCTCTTCTTTTAAAGAAACAATGATACACTTTAGATATTCTTATCTTACTGTGAATTAATTTTTTTTTCTAATTAAGCTTTTTGGGTGACCTTGAGCAAATGAAAAGCTTGACTTTTTCCTCTGCTTTACCGTATTGTGATTTCCTTGGGGTTGGCAGAGATTTGGAAAGGGATGTATTCCAGAACTGGAAAAATAATTTGGCCAAATTAAGCAAAATCTCCATGGGATGTTGGTGCCACTTACCCCAGTTTTTTTTTTTTTTCTTTCCATTCTCACAGACTTCCTCCTCGCTTCAACCCTCTCTCTGCTATCTGAGTCAAGGCCTCTGGCCTGCATACAAGCTGTAGGAGCTTGCATAGCGTTTCTGGAATCTGTACAGTAGTGCTGTGCTGTGGTGGGGTGGGGAGAAGGCAAATACAAGGGTGTTGAGGTGACAGTTCCGGTGTGTCAGATTGGTGGGTCAGAGAACTGTTTGCTCAGTGCCAGAATGTTGGAAAACAAAAGCAAGTTTCTAAGTAACCCCAAAATAGATTCACAGGCAGGATCAAGAAGCTAATGCAGATGTTCCTTATTTTTTAGAAAGAAGATCTAAAAGCCTTATGCAACTATGCAGAATTTCTAAAATGGATTTCATAAGGTCGCAACGTTACTAAATGACTTGTTTATTCAGCCAGCAATGCTTTAGTCTGGCTGACTCTTGGTGTTTAATTGCATTAGTTCTATGAAGCATTTTGTGATGTTGTTCACCGATGTACAAGGCATTCGGGCATACAATACAGTATTTATGCAATATTTAGGTGATTTTCAAAATATAAGCCTGGTGCCAAATATGGATGTAAAATTTTAAACAGTATGTCTACCATAACCCCATTTGGGAGGGGAAAAGTTATGTGTGTGTATCTGTGTGTGTGTCTAGCATGTGTCGGTGGTTCTCAAACTTTGACATACATCGGAGTCACCTGGAGGGCTTATTAAAACACAGATTGCTGTGTCTTCCCCTAGAGTTTCTTATTCAGTAGGTCTGCAGTGGGGCTCAAGCATTTGCTTTTCCAGTGAGTTTCCAGGTGATGCTGATGCTGTTAGTCTGGGGACCACAGTTTGGGAACCATTGTGGGGAACAGAAGCATAGAAACAAATCTAGAAGGAAAATTTACCATTATTGTTTAACAATAGTTATCTTATGTCTGGATAATGGGATTACTGGGGCTCTTTATTTTTCTTTTATACTTTCTGCATTTTTTTCCCATTATCATTAGAAGAAATCGCATTTAAAAGTTTTTCTGAGGCTCTAATACCTACGCTGTCATGAACACACAGTTGTTACTGTCTTCTATTGTCCAGTCTTACAATGTTGTCATTTATGACCACAGAGCTTCATGGAACCAGGTGAGGTGGTGCATGCCTGAAGTCCCACTTACCAGGGAGGCTGAAGTAGGAAGATCACTTGAGTCCAGGAGTTTGAGACCAGCCTAGGCAACATAGCAGGATCCTATTTCTAAGAAAAAGTTTAAAAATAAATAAGAACAAAGCATCAAGAATGCAATATTTTGTGTCCCTGGTTTTTATTTTGCCTTCCCAACATGTGAGTTTTTAGGGTACCTTTATCACTTCTTATTTTACTACATGGTGCTAAACACATGGTAAGTGTTCAATAGGTACTCAATAGCCCCATTAGTTAGAATTGATTCTTTTATGCCACATCACTTCTCTTAAGACTCCATGGAATACTATTTCATGAGTGCAAATTGTGTTTGATATCCATTTGAAAGAGGAAGATCTCATCAAAATCTGAAAGAACAGTAAAGAATTTGTATAAGGTAGCAAAATAAGACAAAGCTAAAGTGATAATCCAGCTCTCGTGACCTTAGAATAAACTGGTCAACCAAGAACAAAACTCTAGCACTAGAAATAGCACTTTATTATGTGAAAGCTCTCACAGTTTGGCCTTTAACATTTTAGGAATAATAAGTGTGTAACATCACACATAAAAAACAAAGCCTTAAGAATGTGGTGTTTTCCCATGAAAGAACAGCAAGGATATTATGCATATATGTGTGTTTCATTGATATTTTAGGAAGGCCCTTTGTTAATCAAAAATGAACCTGCCGGATGTTGATTAGTGGAGAAAACACTTAGAATACAGAGAACAATTTTTAAGCCTGAGTCTACCAAATTCTAGGCAAGTTCCTTAACCCCTTGTGTAAACCGTATTCTGTAAATGGGAACATTGGTCTGTAAACAGTTTGGATTTTCACAATGATCAAGTGAACTCATGCTTGAGAAAGCCTGTTAGAAGCGTGTTAAAATCCTCTGAACTCCAGGGTAGTGGTAGTGAGATCACCACTGTCCCTTTTCTTTTCCCAGCCCTGTGGTCTATTGTGGAAACTTACTTAACTCCCTGGATTTTCTGTCCCAGGGAAGGTTATGGCAAAGTGTGGCAAATCCAGGTTCTTCTAGTCTACCTTCCATCCTGCCCAGCTAATTTGGCAGTACCACTCAGCCTTTGTATGAACTCTGAGGTCAGGCAACTTTAGCAAATGCAAGATAGCTTCTGAATGCTGTTTTTCCTGATAACGTAAGTTCCTTTCCTATTACCCTGTTTCCAGGAAATTAAAATAATTACTGTCTCTGTGGAAATGCATGAATCCGTTATTTTAAAAAATGATTTATCACCTGAGGAATTTGTTACTTCTTGTTCAGTGCCTGTATTAGGAAGCTAAGGAATTAGGCATTTGTGAGCTCTCCCTTATACATTCTCATGGTGCTTCACAATGCCCGCTAAGCTGGTACTTCTTTCATCTCCTTCCTAAGTAAATACTCCCAAATGGTTTAATGTATATTGATGAAAGTTTCAAAATAAATTGTGCTTCTTTTTTTTCCAGGAAAGGGGTAATGTTGTTCTCCTTTCTAGTTTCCGTAGCACTTGGCCAAGTTTTGTCACCTGTTAAGTCCTTTTATCCTTCAGAGAGCAAAAGGATAATACACTTCACAAATGATATCTTTTTAAGCATTGCAGGCAGACTGTAGCCCCATTTTTAGTCCTGTTTGTTTGACTTAAGGTTCAGTGAGTCTTGTGTAACAGTTGCCCTTCTTGTCAGCTGTCTTTCAACTGTGCCGTTGACTGTTGTCTGGTTGTGGGATTAGTGCCATCATGAAGACTGGCTAATGTGTTTGCATGTAGTGCCTCATTCCTGCTACAGGAGGAGGTCAGAAAGGTAAAACCAGGCCAGGTGTGGTGGCTCACGCCTATAACCCCAACACTTTGGGAGGCTGAGGCAGGAGAATCACTTGAGGTCGGGTTTGAGATCAGCCTGGGCAACATAGTGAGACCCTGTCTTCCCTCCCACCAAAAATAGTTGAGAGTGCGGCCGGGCGCGGTGGCTCACGCCTGTAATCCCAGCACTTTGGGAGGCCAAGGCGGGCAGATCATGAGGTCAGGAGGTCGAGACCATGCTGGCTAACACGGTGAAACCCCGTCTCTACTAAAAATACAAAAAATTAGCCGGGCATGGTGGCGGGCGCCTGTAGTCCCAGCTACTTGGGAGGCTGAGGCAGGAGAATGCCGTGAACCCGGGAGGCAGAGCTTGCAGTGAGCCAAGATCGTGCCACTGCACTCCAGCCTGGCCAACAGAGCGAGACTCTGTCTCAAAAAAAAAAAAAATAGTCGAGAGTGCTGCACACACCTCTAGTCCTAGCTGTTTGGGAGACTGAAGCTAGAGCATTGTTTGAGCCCAGAAATTCAAAGCTGCAATGAGCTATGATGGCGCCACTGCATTCTAGCCTTGCCTTGGTGACAGAGTGAGACCCTGCCCTCCCCATGCGCCCCCCACCTTGTCTCTCTCTCTCTGTCTCTCTCACACACACACATAGGTAAAGCCAGGTGATAAGAATTTCGTTTTTAGCCTAAAATATGCTTTACAAAGCAGGTAGTGATTTAACAAATTGTGAGAATCCTGTACCTTTTTCTCAAAGAGCTCCTTTGTTTTTTTTTTTTTTTTTTTTTTTTGAGAAATTCTTTTCTTTTGAGTTATTGCTGTGGCATGAGCTCATTCTGGAATGCTCACATGATCAAATTGTTTGTAATCTTGTGTTTAGCTTTTAGGTTATTTATAGTGTCTATGATCTTACATTAAATTCTTTCCATTATATAATGGAAATATACATTTCCATTATGTACCAGTCTTTCTTTCTAAGTTCAGGTTTAAATGATTCATGTGACCAAAGGTATTCTGAAGTTGAAGTTTAGGACTTTATGTGACCTCTATTATGTGTTTTCTGTGAACATCTTTTTAACCATCATAATTTTTTGCATGGTTATATTCTGATGACATTTAACACATGTGACCTTACTTGAAGCAGGGAAATACAGTTTCTTACTTTGTGGTGTTCTAATGGTAAACTATCTTGGACAGCATGATACAGAGCAGCAAAGAGAAGGTATTTATAGTGAGGCATTTGACTGCTTTGTAGTCTCCTTGTAGCATAATAGATACAGCAGAATAAAGTGAACTCCGGATTTCCTTTTCCCTCAATCCCTTTGCAGCACTTTGGTCCATGAAGTAGAACCCATTGTGGCTCCTCTGCCCTTTGGTGGTGGCCTCTGATGTGGCTAGCACCTGGTATTCCCAGGTTCTGTAGCTGTCTGGATCCACTGACACCACCACCTTAGGGCTCTGAGAGTGTCTAGATTCTCTCATGTTACTGATTCCAACTGGTGTGGAAAGGTTTCCTTGAACTTCATCTGAGACAGGTTTGGAGTACTTTGAACATTTTAGAAAATAAACCCCAAAAATATGTTCACACAAAACACCTACGCTATAGAGAAGCATGCACATGAGGGGTAGTCATTTTGGTTCATGAAACTGTACTGTGCAAAGTCTGATGAAGATGGGATGAGTTGGCCCAGGTGACTAGCTTCACAGACTTCAGTTTATTTTTCCATACTTAAACCAGCCTGGGAAGTAGATACCTAAATTTCTGCAGGAGGTCTTCAGCTTTCATATATTGCATTTTCTCGCAGCCTGTGTGATTTTGCACAGTATACAGGACAGAAAGATTCTAGACTGCCTTTCTCTTGCTGAAGCCTGTCTTTCACATATCAGCTGGCTGATGACTGTGAGTGGTCAGGGTGTTGTTGCTGTCTGCTGGTGCCAGCCTCTGGAGTGTAGGGGGTGCTGCTCTGGTGCTGCACGGGCTCACGCCAAGAGGCCTGCCAGGTGGAAGTTGCTTGTTTATTCCAAGAGTCTTCTTGCCTGGACCAGCCTCCCATATCCTCACCATCCCATTGCCTCTGAGAGAAATCTCACTCTTTTTCTCTGTCTCAGTACCTAGCAATTATGGAGGTGGGAAATTAATTGTACTCTGATTCATATTTTTATTGTGGCAAAATATACTTAAAATTGATCATTTTAGCCGTTTAAAAGTGTACAATTCAGTGGTATCAAATACATTCACAGTGTTATGCAGCCATCACCACTATTCATTTTCAGAACTTCTTCATCATCCCAAACAGAAAGTCTATACCCATTAAATAACTCCTTATTTTCTGTCCCCCACCCCCAACCAAGCCCCTGGGAACTGCTCTTCTACTTTCTGTCTCTATGAATTTAACTACTCTGGGTACCTCATGTAAGTAGAATCATACAGTGTTTATCCTTTTGTGTCTGTCTTATTTCACTTAGCATAATGTTCATCCATGTTGTAGCATGTATCAGACTTCCCTTCCTATTTATGGCTGAATAATATTCCATTGTAGTATATACCCCATTTTGTTTATTAATTTGTCCACTGATGGACACTTGGGTTGTTTCCACCTTTTGACTGTTGTCAGTAATCCTGCTATGAATACTGGTATGCAAATATCTGTTCAAGTTCCTGCATTCACTTTTTATCTGTTTAAGTTCCTGCATTCACTTTTTTTTTTTTTTGAGACAGAGTCTTGCTCTGTTGCCCAGTCTGGAGGGCATGGTGTGATCTCAGCTCACTGCAACCCCTGTCTCCTGGGTTCAAGCAATTCTTGCATCTCAGCCCCCTGAGTAGCGGGGACTGCAGTCACATGCACCACCACACCTGGCTAATTTTTGTATTTTTAGTAGAGATGAGGTTTCACCATGTTGGCGCAGCTGGTCTCGAACTCCTGATCTGAAGTGATCTGCCTGCCTCGACCTCCCAAAGTGCCGAGATTACAGGTATGAGCCACCGCGCCCAGTCCCTGCTTTCTCTTCTTTTGGGTATATTCCCAGAAGTGGAATTGTTGGATTCTGATTACATTTTAAGGAACTACTTTCAGATAGTAGCTACAAGTTGTTTATCATCTGAATATATCCTAATATACTTAAACATTCTCCACTTATTACACTCTGAGATTATAAGTAATTTTTACGTCAAAGAAAATTTCAGTCTCCTTCTTATTAGTCCGATGCTTTTCCAGTGAGTATATAATTGGGGATGCCTTCTAGCCGAGAAGCAGCTGGTGAAACTTTGTTCTAAATATCAGAAAAACCTCCTACATGTGTTTTAAAGAAACGTACCAGGGGCCAGGCATGGTGGCTCACACCTGTAATACCAGCACTTTGGGAGGCCGAGGCAGGCAGATCACTTGAGGCTGGAGTTCAAGACCAGCCTGGCCAACATGGCAAAACACCATCTCTACTAAAAATACAAAAATTAGCCGGGTGTGGTGGTGCGTGCCTGTTATCCCAGCTACTCGGGAGACTGAGGCACGAGAATCACTTGAACCCAGGAGACAGAAGGTTGCAGTGAGCCAAGATTGTGCCACTGCATTCCAGTCTGGGTGACAGAGTGAGACTCTGCCTCAAAAAAATAAAGAAATGCACCAGGAGACAGATAAATTTAGGAATTCGTGGAAGTTTACAAGAACTGAATGTTGGTCACTCTATATATTAATACAAGATAAGCAATGCATTTCTTTTCAGAATTAGTAGGACCGTGGACATGATGACTACTTTAATTATATGTCTGGTTCTGACATCTTCATTATAAGATGAGCATTTTACATAAGAGCATCATAGATACAGCTGCCTCTTCTGGTGCTGTGGGCACAGCAGATTCTCTTTAAGAGTTGGGTTAGGGGCAGGTTAGTAGTAACTGACATATTTAGTAATTGTAGCTATTTATACTGCTAACTAAATTTTCCTTCTGATTTGCTGCTCTCCTAGCCAAGTATCCTCTTCATTAATAACTAATTTCCAGAGCTAACTGACATTTTAGTGTCCTTACTCCTGAAAAACCCTTCCAACAGATAACACTGTTTGCCTTCGTCATTACTCTGGTAGCCCCCCAATTCTCACAGAATAACTGCTGCTAATTAGACATGTTCTTTATTAAGTGTTGAGGTGATAAACTTTGTTTAAATGCAGTGCACATACACTGAAGCACATACTGTTGATTATCAGCTCCTGCCCACGGACTGTTGTTTGTGTTCTCTCCCAGTAAAGTGTCCAGGAAATCTTTTGCTTTCTCTTGTGAGTTGTCTGCTAGATTTGTGCCTTCAAAGTGATGATGGAGAAACCATGTGTGTTTACTCCACACAAGACAGTGAATAATCTCACACAGGTCCCTAGCTTGAAGTGTCATCTTTATTTTGACCTCATATTGCCTTTCTCATTTAGATGTCTAATAAGCATCTCAAAGTTAGCATGTTTGAAACCAAATTCCTCATTTCCTCCACCAAATCAGCTCTTCCCACAGCCTCTCATTTCAGTCAAAGGCAACCCTATTCTTCCTCCCGCTCAAGCGAAAAACTTTGTTCTCAATGATTCCTCTCTCACCTGCACACCTCAGATCAACTCATCAGCAAATCTCTTTGCTCTAACTTCAGAATACATCCCAAAGAAGACTATTTCCTAACATCTTCGTCTCCAGGCATGCGCTTGCCTCAGTGTTTCTGCACTTGTCTGTCCCTCCGCTTGGATATTATTCTCCCAGATAATCTGATGGATACACTGGAAGCATTTGTTGATATATTTTTTTCTCTTTTGGGGGAGCGTGTTTAGAGGAAGAAGGGAATTTAATTTGATTCAGACATGAAGCTTGTATATAAAGATACTAAATTTTCTTAGGACTATATCCATCTGTCTCCTGTCTTTTTAGATATTGCCCATCATATGGTGTGGGGAAATCAGTTAACCTAAGCGTTGTAGCAATTTGTTGCTGTCACTTCTGAATCAGCTAAGTTTTCATTTCATACCCAGCTATGATCACTAATAAAAGAAAATATTGTGCATGGAATGTAAAAATAATTATCTCAGTATGTTTCCATCTACATCTGGAAGACTTTGCTTCTTAGCAGCCTTCTTTTAACTTTCGTTTTTCTCTGTCTTGCCCCTTCTCATCCACTTCTCGGCTTATCATGCCGTCCTTCCTATAACTCTTTGTCCTTGTTCTGTTGCATTTGTAAGGAAGAATTGGGCAAAAAAAGAATATTTAGTGCAATATAAATGTAAGCTTTAAGAGGTGCTTCCCCCAGTAGAAGTTTTGTTTTTTGCTTATAGACATTTCATTTTTCCTGCGAGTCCTATTAGTTGAGTGACTAAAAAATCTGCAGTTTACTTATAGAAGCACTTTTATTGATTAATTCAAAGAGAAGCTTTTACATCAGAAAAAAAGGGACATCAAACACACTAATACATTGAACTTTTAAGTAACAACATTGAGAGTATCATTGGGCCCATAGCAATTTAACTTATTTCAAGTCCACGACTAGAGATTGTTCAGAAAAATCCCTAAAATGTCTATTGTCACCAGCTCTAACTAGTATTGTAATTAGTGTCAGGAAAATATTGCAGATCAAGTATGGGTCCTGCTGGAATCTGTGTAAGTGGCTTTTTTGAGCACGTGAACAAATGGTTTCTGAAATACATGCTTAGAAATATCATCTCTGCTCAGATATCTCACAGTTTTAACATATATTTATTCAGTGATCCTGATAATTTTTTTAAAGTTTTAAAAATAATTTTAAAATTCTAGAGTCTTGTACATATGTATTTTTAACCTGTGAACATGTTATATGAGAGTCATATCTTAAAGTAAAAGATTTTTTAGCTCTTCCATGTGTCGGATATTGAAGTGGGTGCTGAAGATACAACAGGATTGAGGACTGGGCCTGACCTGAGAGGGCTGATCATGTAAATACTGGTTATTATTCTCCTGGGCTGCTAAGCTAGTTGAATCTTAGGGAAAGGTTTTTAAGAGTTGTGCCCTCACTGACATCTGAGATAAGAAATGAAGATGTCTAGTATATTCTTAGCTCAGACACTGGTGAAAAGGTGATTGAAGACTTAGAGGAAATTGAGAAAGGGCTAAAAAGCTTTTATGTGATTCTTGGCATGCAGCTCGTGAAAGATTTTGGTCTGCTCCCTTTTTACTGGCCCTTCTCATTTATCTTAAGTGTCATTTGAAAATGTATGTTTCTTAATGCAGTAATTGTGAAGAGGGTCACCCCAATAACCATATATTATCTTTCCGCAAACATGAAGAAAACTAAGCTACCAACCACCAAAAAAAAAAAACCAAACCCAGGGATTCATGCCTGGCAGCCTCCAGGTCTTTGGAACAGGGAAGATGTAATGGAATTTCCTGTTTTAATTGTGAAGACTTACTGAATTCCGGGGGCATTCTTGACCTTCCCGTAGTTGATTAATCTCTCCTAATTGAAGTCTCCTGACTCATCTACTTTATTTTTAAATTTTTATATTTGGAGAGAATCACTGCTTACTTTTTATTTTTATTTTATTGTTATTTATTTATTTATTTATTTATTTATTTATTTAGGGACAGTGTTTCAATCCCATCGCCTAGGCTGGGGTACAGTGGCACAATCTTGGCTCACTGCAGTCTCCACTTCTGTGGCTCAAGCGATTCTCCTGCCTCAGCCTCCTGAGTAACTGGGAATACAGGCACCTGCGACCATGCCTGGCTAATTTTTGTAATTTTTTTGTAGAGACAGGGTTTCGCCATGTTGCCCAGGCTGGTCTTGAACTTCTGAGCTCAAGTGATCCACCTGCCTCAGCCTCCCAAAGTGCTGTGATTAGAGGCGTGAACCACCATGCCTGGCCTTGCTTACTTCTTAAAATTGTGGAATATATATGAAGGTGATAAAACATACGTAAAACATATGTGCAGGCTGGGTGTGGTGGCTCACACCTGTAATCCCAGCACTTTGGGAGGCTGAGGCAAGAGGATCGCTTGAGCCCAGGAGTTTGAGACCAGCCTAGGCAATGTAGTGAGACCCCATCTCTATTTTTTTTTAATTAAAAAAAGAAGAAATATGTACAATTAAAGAATAATAATAGAAATGAATATCCACATACCCTCTATCTAGCTGAAAACACAGATAACCCATGTTTTAGAAGAGTGGACCCAAAGGAGTGTCCTTCTAAATAACCTCACTTTCCTGATTTTTATGGTTATCATTTCTTTCTTTTTTTTTTTTTTTTAAGTTTTTCATTTAACTATTTATCCCCAAGCAATATATTTTTAGTTTTGCCCTTTTTGGTGAATTAATGTAATAGAATCATGTTGAATATATTATTCACGGGCTTGCTTTCTTCTTTCAACATTATTTTTTTCAGATTCATCCACATTGATGTGTGAAACTGTGGTTAATGTCCTTCCACTGCTGTAAACTGTTGCATTGTATGGAGTACCATGGTTTATTTTTCCATCCTCCAGGTTTGTTTCTTCACTGGTGTTTGGAAAACAACATGGACTCCAAACTCCTCAAGTCACCTTGCCACAGATCCCTTGAGTTGGGGGTTGGGAATTTCCAAATTGTTGGCTTTCCTTAGTGGAAATACTAGATGTTCTCATTTCTGGAGACCTTCTAGAGAATGGACTGTGATGGACTTTTGCAGGGGCTGTTAGCTGTTGACCTGAGTCTCCTGGGTCTGGAGTTAAAGCCCTGTGTCTGCAGGATCTTGTCGATGAGCCCTCCCCTGGGGTCACTCCTTCTAGTGACTTGAAATAAGTTAAATTGGACTTGAAGTGAGTTAAATTGTTGTGGGCCCAAAAATGCTTCCAGTGTTGTTAATTAAAAGTTCAATGTATTGTGTTTGATGCCCCTTTTTACCTGATTTAAAAGCTTAAGTTTCTCTTTGGATTAATCAATAAAAGTACTTCTATAAGTAAACTCTGCAGATTTTTTAGTCACTCAACTAATAGGACTTGCAGGAAAAGTGAAATGTCTATAAGCAAAAAACAAAACTTCTACTGGGGGAAGCTTTGGAGCTTTAGGTAGATTGGGGCCAGCCAAGAGCCCAAGTGGTTTAACCAGAAGCAGGCTAGTCTTCAGAGCACAGGACGACACCAAGAGTTTTTGTTCTTCCCACTCTTGGCTTTCCAAGGGCATTCTCCTCCCTTCCTCTCTCCCCACCTTGATTCTCATCAGTTATTGGCAGATGTTCTGTTCTATTGTGTCCTCACTGAGGGAGTCAGTGAAGGGGCACACCCATTGTCTCATTTTAAAATACCCCAATGGAAATGATCAAAGTGCGAATAAAAAGCTCAGCTGTTTGCATTTATTTTCAAATGTAGAAAAACTTTCTGGAAAGATTGTACTAAGGGGTTACTGGCATCATTGTTATGGTCCTCTGACATTTTTAAAAGTAGGTCTCTGAGTATGTTTTTCCTCCTTCATAAAGTGAAGACTGTGAGTCTATTTTTCTGTATTAGCTGGTTATTGTTACTTGAGATTTGTCAGCTTTCCTTGAAGTGTGTTCCCTTGAACTGGATGCTAATGTTTGCCATGCAGGGAAGAATGTCTCTGCAGTAAAATAAAGTTAAATCAGTTTATTTACTGCACAACTTCTCAGTGCACTTGATATGCTACCATGCTTTGGGAATTTTTAAGTTGGGGGCTTATAGAGGCAGGCATTAAAAAACATGTTTGATTATGGGACCCCCTACTCTGAACTACACTAACATTAGTGTGTCTTGCTGCAGTAATCCTTCTCTGAATATCTTTGGGAAAGGTGTCATTTATGTATTTTTCATTGTTTCCATTGGTTCCATTTGCCTAGTAGGCCTCAGGATTGCAGTGGAATTTTTCCAGTACCTTAAGATAGCATTTATCTTGGAGGATATGACCCTTTAAGGGCAAACTTATTTGCAGTTCACTTTCAATTTACAATGTTTATTCTAAGCAATGCATATTACTTTTTTTTTTTTTTTTTTGAGACATAGTCCTGCCCTATCACCCAGGCTGGAGTGCAGTGGTGCAATCTCGGCTCACTGAAGCCTCTTCCTCCCTGGTTCCAGAGATTCTCCTGCCTCAGCCTCCTGGGTAGCTGGGATTACAGGTGCACGCCCCCAGGCCCAGCTAATTTTTGTATTTTTAGTAGAGACAGGGTTTCACCATGATGGCCAGGCTGGTCTCGAACTCCGGACCTCAGGTAATCCACCCACCTCGGCCTCCCAAAGTGCTGGGATTACAGGCGTGAGCCACCGCACCCAGCCGCATATTACTTTTACATGAAAGTAGAGTGAATAGGTAGTTTTGTAAATTGATGAAAAGAATAAGGTCTCAGCTTTGAAAGGATATTCATTGTCCTTGGAATGGTATTCCAGAAAAGTAGGAAGCTAACCAAAAGGCCCAGACCAAAATTTTCTTTTTAATGTCTCAAGCAGAGAAAGATTTTGTGTATAGAAACACTAATGAAAATGATTGTTCTCCTTGATGATTGTAAAAGAAAAAAGTGTTCTTCCTATCCTCTCTCCTTCCCACCTTTCATTTTTGGTAAGTGGGGGAGAAGTGAAGGTGAAGATGCTAGGAATGCTAATTTACCTTGTATTTTTTTTTTAGACATGTTTCATGACAGGTTTGAGGCCTGCTGATTTGGGCATACCCAGTTGCACCTTTTCATTTCGTGCCTCATTGGAGTATGTTTTCTTCTGTTGGTCACTCCTGTTTTCTTGACCTGGACCATGTAATAGAGACTGGGACGAAAACTACATGTAATTACACCCTTTTGGTCAAAACACTAAAACAGAAACCAAGCAAGCTTAATCCTAAATCATTGAAATTGTCTAGAATCTTTATCTAAAATAAATCCTAATCCAACAAAAAATTTTCTTCTAACTCAACCTGCTGCTTATGTCTTCCCTTCCATGAGTATTTTAATAGAAGTTAATTTTTCAGATCACTGGAGCTTATTCCTTCAAACACTGGTCCTGCACTGTTTTGCTGTATTTCTTCACTGTCGTAGCAGAGCCAGAGGCTGCTGGATGTCATCATGAGCATCCATTATTTTCCACATGGTGAAAGGGGCTTGGGTTGCCCTCAGCTTTCACCTCTTGTCACAGTATTGGGCTGCCAGGAGACACCGTTCGGCTGCCACCCTGTCTCACAGCCCTGCTTGTTAGCTGTCGTATCTGCTGTGTGTGCTGGAAAACTAGATAATAGAACAGGTCAAATCAGGGTAGGTAAAGCAGCCACTGAGTGCATTAGGAGTGGAGACATGGCTGACCCCTTGGGGCTGTAGAACATCTATTTTTGATACTCACAGCTTTCTTACTCTGGATATATAGGAGGGTTGAAGTCTCTGAGAAAAGGAGTGATTACTATTCTCAGCACCATGTGAAACTTAGATGAGCCCTTTGGAAATTTATAATCTGCTAGTTTGTTTCCCTAAGTTGAATATGAATCCATGTTGGATCAGACATTAATATAACTTTTGAAATTCTCTCAATGGTCTTATTTTAGCAGCATTAAGTACATAGTACTTTACCTGTGCAAGACTGGCCATGTATTGGTAATTGTTGAAGAGGGATACTTTCTACTGTTTTGTGATGTGCTGTGATGTTTTGTGATGTTATGTGATGCTGTTCACATTCCATTCGTATGTGTTTGCAATTTTCACTATTAAAGCATTTGTAAAAACACAGCACTATATGTATGTTTACTTGGTCTTCAATCCAAAGAGTGGAGTTATTCAGGGAAACATCACCATTTTCTCAAATGTTACAAGTGATCCGTTGATGTGAGCCAAGGACTGCATCTGTCCATTCATTTAAGAGATACTTACTGAGTGACTATTTCGTGCCTGACAACCCTGTAGGCACTGGGAATGTATCAGAGAACAAGATAGACAAAGCCTCTCTTTCCGTGGATCTTATAACTGTCAGATCCAGGGGAGACCTGTGGATAATAAGCAAATAAATAATGAAATGGTTTAACATGGCGAAAGGTGCTGAGAAGGAAACAAAGCACAGTGATAGGAGACTGAGTGACAGGGCCAAGCAGGATGCAGGTGGGATGGAGGTGGTGCAGGCAGCCTCAACATTAATGTAGGGAGTACGGGGAACACTCCTCTGAGGAGCAAGCCCTGGAGAGGGCTTTCCAGGCAGAGGGAGCTTCTTGTGCAGATGCCTGGGGATGGGAGTGCTTTCAATTCCAAGTGATACTTCTCTTACCTGTAGGAAGGCAGCCCCAAGAAAACACAAGGTCCATTTAGATAACTCGACACACATACCTGCTGAGACCCAGAAGTGGGAATTAGCTTCCCCACTTGATACCTGCCACTTTAAGAGCTACTGAGTAATCCAGTAAATAAACCAGCAACACATTCCTGTGAAAAGGACTCCAAATTAGTAGTTAACAGACATAAAATAATCATTTTTCTGTAGTAGTAAAATAAATGTAACTGTTATTTATGTAAAAATAGGCTGCCGTTTAAGTACAACTTGTCATAAATGGCAGTGTGGGACATTTACATTCTTTTGGTCTACAGTTCTGAGACTATTTTTTATGCATGTATGTATTTATTCAGTAAACATTTATCCTCTGCTGCACGTCAAGCACTATGCCAGACCCGATAGGAGAGAACCCAGGGTGAGTGTGACCCGGCCTCTGCTTGGAACGAGATGGGTGTCTCTAGCCAGGCCAGGTGCTTACCATGTGCCTGGTGTGGGGTCCATGACACCAAGCAGGGCAGACCTAGGCATCCTGTTGGTGCAGCTCTGTAAAGGGGACAAGACAGACAACAAACCATGACTCCGAGAAAGTGCAACAGGTGCCACGAGGAAACAGAATTCCAGGACAGGAAGGTCAGGGAATGCCTCTCTGGACCAAGGGGGAGAAAGAACCAGCAGGGGAGGGTATTCCTGGCAGAGGGGGCAGTAGCTTGAAGCCTCCAAAGTGGAAGTGTTATGAATTCTTGGAGGGTGGAAAGGAAATGGGAGCTGGGAAAGGTGGGCAGCATTTACCATATCCTACAGACGACAATCTGGAACTTGGTATTTGTTTATCCCAAGTGCATTAAGGCATTGTTGCAGGATTTTAAGCCAGGTAAATGATAGGAAATTTATTTGAAAAAGATAATTCTGGTTGCAAAGTTAGCTACGTTGTTAAGGGGATATATTAAAGGCCCTGAACTAGGTTTTAATCCTAGTTTTGCCTTTTACTTAGTCTTGTGAGCAGTTTACTCATCTGAGAAATGGAGCTAATGAGTCCACCTCAATAGTGGTAAGGATTGATGAATAAGATAAGGTGTCAAGAACCATGTGTAAGGCCAGGTGCAGTGGCTCACGCCTGTGATCCCAACACTTGGGGAGGCTGAGTCAGGTGGATAACTTGAGGCCAGGGGTTTGAAACCAGCCTGGGCAACATAGCGAAACCCCGTCTCTACTAAAAATACAAAAGTTAGCTGGGCGTGGTGGCGGGCACCTGTAATCCCAGCTTCTCGGGAGGTTGAGGCACAAGAATCGCTTGAACCCAGGAGGCAGAGGTTGCAGTGAGCTGAGGTCGTGCCACTGTACTCCAGCCTGGGCAACAGAGCGAGACTCTGTCTCAAAAAAAAAAAAAAAAAAAAAAAGAATCGTGTAAAATGTAGAATATGCTCAATAATGTTAGTTCCCCCTCCGTTTTCCTCCTTCCCGTAGAGTAGAATATGTGAGTAAAGTGTTCTGGCATCATGGAAATGCAGCACAGTCTCTAGTGATCTTGGGGACAGCAACACCAAGCCCAGTGGCAGCTCCATGAAGGTTATGGGCACAGTGTCTAGTGGGGAATTTTTTTTTTTTTTTTGTAAAGTTGACCTGGTCCATTCAAGTATTGCAATAGTAATGGTGGCTTTATTTATAGCTTGTTGTATTGAGATTATGAGTTTCGAATATTTAACAGATTCTTCCCTTCTTCATGCCTTTTGGAAGAGAGAACTAAGTTGCTAATGCAGTACTACACTACTGTTACTTCACCAATAATACTCAGGGTTATATTAATAGGAGAATCTGCAAAGTTTAATGCCACTTGTTCATACCTGGGGCTCTCCTCTAAACTAAATAAATTTCTTAACCTGTCCATTCATTTGTATTTTCCTGTTGTTGTGAATCTCTAAATATCTTGCACAAATAATGAGTTTCCTATACAATTTGAGGAGACTGTGTTATTCTGAAGAATTCCATCATCATAATGGTGTTCATTGGGTCTATGTTGTGAGTTTGTCTAATGGAAAAAAGATTTGTTTCTTTTTAACTGCATAAATAGTAGATTCAAATAAAATGCTGTTAAGTGGAATGCAGGTAATAAAAACCGATTCAGACATGGCAGCTAGCCTGATGGGGTTTGTAGCATAACAGGAAGAGAAACTTGCAACCTTATTTTAGCCATCCTTAGATTGGTCTCAGGTTTGCCTCATAGTGAATTCTGCTCTGGGAAGGTAACAGGCGTTATAGGAAAGTCATATACACAGTGAGGTTTCACATGAGGGCAAGCTCCTTATTACCTACCCATTTATTTATTCTGTAATGTGGTTGGATGTAATTTAAAATGGGTCCTTGGATCCCCCCTTGACTGCTTTTAGGTTTATGTAGGTCTAGAATCAAAATCCTTGTATTCCTAGTTTGCTGTCCACAATGAAGATTTTTAATGTCATATTTCCTAACCTAGAGAATAATACTGCCATGAACGCTTGCCACTAGTGTGACTTTTGTCACAGACATGTCATTGGCAGAGACTCATTTGTAGCTCCCAGGTCTGTATTGGGAATCAGGATGAGAAACGCCATCCTGCCCAGTTAGCATGCCTCCTAAAATCTCATTTGTAATAGACATGGGATTCATTTGAACTGTAATTTATTTTATTTTATTTTATTTTTATTTTTATTTTTTTTTTTGAGACTGGCTCTCTGTCACCCAGGCTTGAGTGCAGTGGTGCCATCTTGGCTTACTGCAATGATCCTACCACCTCAGCCTCTTGGGTAGCTGGGACTATAGGCTCTTGCTACCACACCCAGCTAATTTTTGTCTTTTTAGTAGAGACGGTGTTTTGTCATGTTGCCCAGGCTGGTCTCAAGCTCCTGGACTCAAGTGATCCACCTGCCTTAGCCTCCCAAAGTGCTGCGATTACAGGCGTGAGCCACTGTGCCTGGCCTGAACTGTAATTTTCCTGTCCTGGTGATTCAACTCGATGTGACATTGAAACTACATGGTTCTGCAGTGATGTCCTACAGAATCAGTAGGCTGCTGAGTCAGGGGGTCTCTTGCTCCCAGAGTCCTCAAGGTGGCAGGTCCTGCACGCTGTCAAACTGCAAGCATCTGGCATCAGCAATGACAGCTGCTTCTATGGAAGATGGAGAAAAGAAGTTTGTAGGTAAAATAAATGGCTGAAAATGAGGGGCCTTGCATCGCGTGTGTTACTCTGCTGCTTTTAAAAGCTTTATAATATGTTAATTCACTTAACCCCACACCAGCTCTATTTGACAGGTGAGGTAACTGAGGCACTGAGAGCTTAAGCACCAGGTCCAAGGTCCCTACAAAGTGGTGGAGGCAAGAATGGAACCTGGGCAGTCTGGCTTCTGCATCCCTGCTCCTGGACTGACTCTCATAAAAGGCCGTTTGTGTGTCTCAACTGTAACCTAAGGGATTATTCAGCTAATAACCCTGAAGCTATTACATGGAGCATGAAGTTTGGTTCTGACTCCCTAATGTAGAAAAGTCAAATATATTATCTCTTATGCTACCATAGATAAATGCTCTCAAGGTACAAGCTCTCACATAAATGGAAAACCAATCTTGGAAATAAAACCAAAACCAGGTAGTTAAATGTATGAGTCCATCAGAAGGTGTATTAATTGAAGTCAAGTCTTTAATAGTGGCAGATAGGCCAGTGTGTATTTCATCCTGAGAATGACCTCACAGGGATGCTTAATTCTTGATGCTTCATGCTGCATTTTGGGAAAGCCTCACTGTGTGATACTTTTGAAGACATGACAAGAGAATTGCACAAGAGCCATGTTTTCTCTGCTTAATTTTGTTTTGGTTAACGCAGGGTGAGTTTCTTACTAGGCTCGCCCAAACTGGGAATTGCAGCCATGGCAATTAGCAGCAGGAGCTCTGTGAGGTGGCCTGGAGAACACCCTACAGAGACCCTGCTCCACAGAGACCCTGCCACACACTTTACCTGATGCCTGTGACCCGTGACTAGAGTCGTCTCTGTGTTGTTTTTCAGAAGGACATTTGAAAAAAGGGCTGAGGATCCGTTATTGGTGGATAGTGATTTCATAAAATAATGTCATGTATCTTATAAAACTTCCCATTTGCATGTGTATGATTTTAATTTTGCAAATGCCCATATAGACCATGTAAACATTATTGTGTTAAATTAATAGTTATTGTGGATGTACTCATATTCATCTCAAGTTTTGTATTTTATTGTAATTTTTTTTAATTATATTAACTGGTTGATTGCATAGAAATGAAAATCTATTCTGAATTAATTCTACTCAGCTTCTGGGCAGCATATTTTAAAGACTTTCAGAAGAGAGAGCATCACTTTTTTAGTGAAAAACAAGGGTCACTATAAATAATGTAGTTTAAAAGCAATAAAAATTTAAAATGTTTCACTTATTCTGGCATTTAGTAATGGGTACTTGAGATTTGCCTTCTAACCTGAACATTCTTTAGACTAAGAAATGGCCTTGGATTATGTGCTTCTCGAAACATCTGTGATAAAGGACCATTTCTTTTTCCTTTTGAATTCCATCAGGGACTGATACTTTTGTAAGTGTTGAGGGGAGGGAGGTATCGTGGCATGTGACCTCTAAAGGAAGGTGAGATTGTGGCCCATACCTTGGAAGACATTGTTATCTCTCCTCTGGGATCCAGCAACAGTTGACAAACAGGCTGGCACTGAGCCTCAGCTTGTGCTTTGATGAGCTCAGGGCTGGGTGGTGTTTCCAGATTCCATCCAGGTAATAACCACTTCCCTGAAAGTTGGTTTCCTCAGCCCGCCTTTCTGTCCCATTTTGCGTCTCCATCAATCCCGGTCCCTGTGGATTTTCCTTCAGTTTCAGGAGATTGTCGATGAATGACTTAGTCAATCCCCCCTCGGTGGATTGACACCAGATCCTTTCTTCCCTGATGTTACTGACAAACACCCTGCAACTTCCAGGGCTCAGCTGAGTTCACCATCCCCTCCTTATGCATCCTTTGAGTTGAGAACATGAATGAAGGAAACACAGACAGCTGTTTGTCCTCACCTGCCTCTCAATATAACATTTCTCCTAAATCTTGTGTCTCCTGCTGGAATAGCAGGGGTGGAACTTTTTAATAATGGTGAAGTTCTTCCATTTTGCACTTTTTGGAACAGGCTCCAGCTCCATGTGGCTAAATTGCTGTAAGAGCAAGGAATGTTTGAAGTACCCATGCAAGATTATTTTAAGCATAAGAAGTTGATTCATTGAAAAGAAAAATACTCAACTAATTATTGAGTGCCCACTGTGTATAAAATGTTAGTATCCACGAATTCTGAAAATTCTGTGAGTTTCCCAAACCCATAGAATGTTTCAGAATCCGTCCTGGGAACAGCTACATTCCAGCTCCCTGCTCCTCCCGTAATCCCGTCCTGCCTGCCCTTTGCTATTCTGAGTTCAGAGTATTCTCTTAGTAAAAGGGACCAGTCTCAGTTTATTCAGAAGCTACAAGATGCTTAAAATATATAAATATATATATATATGTTTATGTATTTGGCTGAGCACTGTTTCACACCTGTAACCCCAGCACTTTGGGAGCCCAAGGCAGGAGGATCACTTGAACCCAGGAGTTCAAGACCAGCCTGAGCAATATAGTGAGACCCTATCTCGTATAAAAAATAAAAATAATTAGAAAAATAAAAAGATTAGATATAAGGAAGTCTGAAGTTTCAGAAGAGTTCTGAAAAGGAGAAATTATAGAAATATGTTCTCAACAAATTCTCCTTTTACCATCAGTGTCTGTTTGGAGTTTCTCTGTTCAGAGGCCAGTACCTGGACAGGGAGGATACCATGAGAAACAAGTAACCTTTTCTCAGTGCTTCCAAATCATTACTGGGAGGATGTGTTTATTTTCATGTGATCCCTTCTTCCAGCCATCAATAGACTTACTGTAAGATAGTTTTAAAAACAAACATGAAGTCAGAGATGGAAAAAAGAGACTTGAAGATGCATGATAAAACTCAACAAGGGTGGCATGTCCCAAATAAAGAAATGGGAAATGGGGGTTCTGTTGGTTTATTCAGTAGAATTTAATAAGCATTGTCTATATGCTAATAAGTGCTTAGGGTGAGAACAGTTGGAAGCCAGGGAAGTCCAGGCTCCAAGTGCAGGGAGCTTGAAGTATAGGTGTCTGATTCAAACCTGCGTCCTACGGAAGGTCAGGCAGGCTGATGCTGTTATCAAGATCACTCCCAGTTTGGGTGATAGAACTGAACCTGGGTTTCTTTCCCAGAAGGGGAAATTTTGGTTTCTGAATGTTCTTCTGTCACTCTATCAAGTGATGGTACCTCAGTTGCAAAAGAAAGCTTGTATTTTTTTTTTAACTTCTAATTTTTCTGGGTATGTCGTAGGTATATATATTTATAGGGTACATGAGATGTTTTGATGTAGGCATGCAATGCGTAATAATCACATCATGGAGAATGGGGTATCCATCCCCTCAAGCATTTATCCTTTATATTACAAACAATCCAATTATACTCTTTTAGTTATTTTTAAATGTACAGTTAAATTATTATTGATGGCCGGTGCCTCATGCCTGTAATCCCAGCACTTTGGGAGCCCAAGACGGGGTAATCGCCTGAGCTCAGGAGTTCAAGACCACCTGCGCAACATGGTGAAACCCCGTCTCTACTAAAATACAAAAAATTAGCTGGGCATGGTGGTGCATTCCTGTAGTCCCAGCTACTTGGGATGCTGACTCACGAGAATCGCTTGAACCCGGGAGGTGGAGGTTGCAGTGAGTCAAGATCGCATTACTGTACTCCAGCTTGGGCTACATAGTGAGAATCTGTCTCAAAAAAAAAAAAAATTATTATTGACTATAGTCACCTTGCTGTGCTATGAAATAGTAGGTCTTATTAATTCTTTTTTTTTTTTTTTAACCCATTAACCACCCCCCGCCACAACCCCCGGCCCATAACCCTTCCCAGCTTCTGGTAACCATCCTTCTACACTCTGAGTCTATGAGTTTAATTGTTTTGATTTTTAGATCCCACAAATAAGTGAGAACATGTGATGTTTGTAAAGAAAGCTTGTATTTTAGATTTTAAACTCAACCTGAGTGACATTAAATTTCTTTTATTTTAAAAAAGTGTTTTTATCCAACAAAGTTTTTATTAGAAGTGTATTTATAGTTACTCTTGTCATAGTGGAGAGGAACCTGATATCAGGAGAGGTTGGTAACTCACTGATAGGTTGACTGAGTCCTCTAACAAGAATTGTTTGAATACAAATTATTTGCAAGGCATTTGATGCACACCCGAAGGGCTGCGGTCAGTGGTGGAGGGTCACTACTCTGGGTTTCACCCCTCAGTCAGTGGAGATGGTTTGGCCTATGTGTCAAAACTTGAGTCTTGCTGAGTGCCAGATAATGTGCACAGGGCAGAAAGAAAAATACTAATTCAAAACATTAGAATTTCATTGTATTATATTTATAAACTGTTATACCTCTAAAAGAGTTTTTGGGATCATCAGAGTTTTAAAATAATGAAATTAACTTATAAAACTTGAATTTAGGCTGGGCGCGGTGGCTCATGCCTGTAATCCCAGCACTTTGGGAGGCTGAGGCGGGCGGATCATGAGGTCGGGAGATCGAGACCATCCTGGCTAACACGGAGAAACCCCGTCTCTACTAAAAATACAAAAACATTAGCTGGGCATGGTGGCAGGTGCCTGTAGTCCCAGCTACTCAGGAGGCTGAGGCAGGAGAATGGCATGAACCCAGGAGGCGGAGCTTGCAGTGAGCTGAGATCACACCACTGCACTCCAGCCTGGGCAACAGAGCGAGACTCCGTCTCAAAACAACAACAACGACAACCAAAAAAAACCTTGAATTTATTAGAAACCCTGTGGTGAGAATTTTAAGACTTTGCTGTTACTGACTTTATTTCAGAAGTTTATTGCTTCTGTTATAAAGTTGGCACATCTTTATTGCAGACAACATTTTTGACAAAAACTAACAGTTAATTTAAAAAATTTTTTGACAAAAACTAACAGTTAATTTTAAAAAAAATTGTCTTACTATTCATTTCATTGGACTTCAGTAGTCAAACTATTAAACTATAAATGCTTGATTCTGGCCTGTAGGATACCTCTTACATTGGTAATAATATCCTACTTTTTGGTACTCAAAAATTCAAGCTGTTTTGGGAAAGGAAACTGAAAGCTGTTTGGTCCCTTGGTTTCTGTTTCTAATTTTGGAAATACACATATAGACCATGTGTTTGCTTCACCTTTTATTGCCAGCTTTTCAGGTCATGAGACGGTACTTCTAGGTTCTCTATCTTTTCAGGTAATGAGACAGTACTTCTATGTTCTCTAGCTAGCGATATGGGTAATACCCACTACTTATCAAATTGAGAAAGTAAATGCACATTTTAAAATGTTGGATCTATTTTTAAATACGGACTATTGTTAAATTTTAGACTGTTATTCCTATGTCCATTTTGTCAGTTACCTTGGCCTCAGTTTCACTGTCATGGAGCTGTATTGTACCTTACATGTAGGTATGGCTGTATGTGAGACCAGATGTCAGGTGTGGTTGTCCTGAAGTGTTTGTAGCATACTGCTCTTGGCTCTTTTCTGAAGAAATTAATATCATAGTTTAGTTCTTATAAATGTGTCCAACTTTATACATATTTATATAATTCTTTCCAGAGTTTTTTTTCCCCACTCTCTCTCTCTTTTTTTGTTTTGAGACGGAGTCTCACTCTGTCGCCAGGCTAGAGTGCAGTCGTGCAATCTCGGCTTACTGCAACCTCTGCCTCCCAGGTTCTCCTGCCTCAGCCTCCCAAGTAGCTGGAACTACAGGCACGCACCACCACACCTGGCTAATTTTTGTGTTTTTAGTAGAGATGGGGTTCACCATGTTGGCCAGACTGGTCTTGAACTCCTGACCATAAGTGATCTGCCTGCCTTGGCCTCCCAACGTGCCGGGATTACAGGCATGAGCCACCATACCTGGTCCCCCATTCTCCATTCTTTCCCTTCCTCTATCATACATATTTTCTTTAAAACCTTTTTTTTTTCCTTTTTTTTTTTTCTGAGACAGAGTCTCACTCTGTTGCCCAGGCTGGAGTGCAGTGGCGTGATCTTGGCTCACTGCAACCTCCGCCTCCTGGGTTCAGCGATTCTCCTGCCTCAACCTCCCAAGTAGCTGGATCTACAGGCACGCGCCACCACACCCGGCTAATTTTTGTATTTTAAGTAGAGACAGGGTTTCGCCATGTTGGCCAGGCTGGTCTCAAACTCCTGACCTCAGTTGATCCACCCGCCTCGGCCTCCCAAGGTGCTGGGATTACAGGCATAAGCCACAGCACCCAGCCAAAAACCTTTCTTTTCTTCAGGGAAAGAACCCTGTTTTATAAGTTCTGTCATTCTTCAGCTCCCCAGTACCCTTTTCCCAGATGAAATTTAGTTTCAGCAATGTTGACATTTTGCGTGTATAATTGAGGAGGACTATTTGTTGTAACAACAGCAATGGCATCTAACATTTATTGAGCAATAACTCTGCATGCTAATGATGTACAGCATTACCCACGCCACCTCATGCCATCCTTCAACAGTGCTAAAGGAGTGCTCTTCTATTCCCGCTTTAGAGGCTGAGACTCAGCGGTTGAGTAAACTTGTCCAAGGTCAACATGGCTAGATCAAGGCAGAGCTAGGATTGTTTGACCCCCAATCCTGAACTCCTCACCACTGTGCTTCATTATATCTTGTAGAATTAAGCCAAATACAGTTATGCCAGAAGGAAGTAGTTCAAATATACCAAAGTAGTCCAAAAAATCAAACCACAAGTCTGTCTGCTTCAGTACAAAATTAGTTGTTTTTCTTTTTGAGTTTTATTGAAAATGAAAATAGATTAACTGGTAATTTTTTAAAAAGAAACAGGGTTTTTTTTTTTTAAGAAGGCATATCAGGATTAGCATTTTTTAAAATTACAAGTGTATTTTGAGTTCATTTTAATTTTATTTCTTTAAGACAGTCTCGCTCTGTCGCCTAGGCTCGAGTGCGGTGGCATGACCATGGCTCACTGCAGCCTCAATCTCCCGGGCTCAAGCGATCCTCCCACCTCAGCCTCCTGAATAGCTGGGACTATAGGCACGCACCATCACACCTGGCTGATTTTTAAAAACAATTTTAGTAGAGACAAGGTCTTACTCTGTTGCTCAGGCTGGTCTTGAACTCCTGGGCTCAAGCAGTCCTCCCATTGTGACCTCCCAGAGTGCTGGTATTATAGTCATGAGCCACCATGCCCAGCCTCAATTAATTTTTAAATCTGTCAACAATATAATAAGTATCAATTGAAAGGAAGCCATTTTTTTCTTCATTCATTCCATCAGGTCTGCTTCAAGGTCTGTGACTGAAGTCCCATGTGGAAAGTCCCTTCACACTGTGGGGCAGTCGTTCAATCTTTGTAGACATGGTGGAGTGGCTAGGTGGAGGGGGCACACACTCAACAAGTCTTACAGATTTTTCCTTCAAGTTGTCTTTGTGTTCTGTCTTTCTGTCCTACTTTTTGTCTTGTCCTTGCAGTAGTGTCTTAACTTACACACGGTGAGGGCTGCAGTTGGTGCCAGGCAGAGGCTCACCAGTGCGTGTCTCACTGCTGACTCTAGATGGTGTGGCCTCTTACATTCACGCTTGAGTCTCACCCTCCTAAAACAGATCTGGCCATGTCATTCCCATTGCGCAAACCATCTGTGGCAATTTCTTCTGAGAAAAGGCTGAGTCATCATGGCAGTCAATGCTGTCTGCATTTTGGTTCTTGTCTATTCTTCCAGCTGTATGGCTCTCAATTACATTCTGTCTACCTGCTATTCCCTGAACATATCCTGTGCACTCTAGCTTTGTTCCAGCTGTCCTTCTGCCTAGGATTTGCTCCCAACACATCTGCATCTACATTTTTGTGGCTTTATTTATACCCCTCTTCAGTGGCCCTCAGTTTCCTACTACCTCAGCAGGAAGTAGTCGTTTGCAGCCTTCTAACTCCACGTTGTCATACCAGTTCCTTTTTTTTTTTTTTCCATAAATGCCTTTCCTTCTTGGAGGTTCACTCTGTGTAGGCTTCTCCTGCACATTCATGAAGGACACAGAAGGGCTAATTCATGCTATTAACCACATGGATAACCCTTGTAAGCATGAATGATCCACATCATTGAACATCCACATGGATTGCTATCCAATCAATACCTAGCCTAAGCTGAAAGAGCTCTCACCAAATTCTTTGATGCCAGAGAGGCAATACTCAATAGCAGTTAAGTGTACAGTGTGCTCCAGCCAGAGACTGCCTGGGTTTGAATCATGGTACTGATGCCAGTTAACTATGATCTTGTGAAAGTCATGCAATCTGTATACCTTGTTCCTCAGTATTTTTTATTTGAAAAATGATAATAATGAGAGTTTTTATGTATAGGGTCATTAAATATGTTAAGTGAGTTAAAGCAGATAGTAACAGAAACCTATCTGGCACATAATTAGAACTCAGTAAGTGTTAGCTATTAATTAAAGTAATGATCATCCATTTCAATTCACAGACATATACTATATGACCAGGTTAGAATTTACAACCCTGAAATGTGCTACCTCTGAAATGTTAGGTTTCACTTGTTGACTGTAGCATCTTATCTCACCCAGCACCTCTGCATCTTTATTCTTGAATTGTATCCAGACCATGAGTGTCTTACCTCTGCCGTTTTCTCCCAGTCTGTCATCCTCCTGACTTTACTTCCTTCTCTACCCAATTCTTGCCCTACCAGGTATTCTCATGGAACCGTAGCTTCCCCTCACCAACTGCAAGAATAGTGTTCTTGAAAAGTACCACAGCAGCCAGGCATAGTAGCTAATGCGTGTAATCTCAGCCTCACTTTGAGAGGCTGAGGCAAGAGGATTGCTTGAGCCCAGAAGTTCGAGACCAGCCTGGACAATATGCCAAGACCCTGTCTTGACAAAAAAATACAAAAATTAGCTGGGTGTGGTAGTGCACACCTGTAGTCCCAGCTACTTGGGAGGCTGAGATGGGAGGATCTCTTGAGCCCAGGAGGTTGAGGCTACAATGAGCTGTCATCACATCATTGCACTCCAGCCTAGGCAGCAGAGTGAGATCTCCTCCAAAAAAAAAAAAAAGAAGAAAGAAAGAGAAAAAGGGAAAGGGAAGGGGGAAGGGGAAAGGGAAAGGGGGAAGAAAGGAAGGCAGGGAGGGAGGGAGGGAAGGAAAAGAAAAAGCAAAGCACCATAGGCAGTGAGATCAAAGTCTTAGAGGAAATAAGGGGTTAGGAGAAAAACAATTAGAAAATGACATTAAGCATATACTTAAACTTAGTAGATTCTGAATGATCTACCCAGTATTCTTCCAAAACAAACTTGGTGGCATGTCTCTTGAATGAATCAGCTTCTTCACATGTTCAGAAAATTTTACTGTAGTGATTGTAGGTTTGATCATCTGATGACTCTCTTTTTTAAAATTTTCAAACCAGGCTTTATCTTGGAACTTAAAGTTTTTGAAATTTGCATTCTTCTTGTGATAGGTTTCAAAGGTCTTCCAGATGCTTATGTAACCCCTTCTACTTTTTATAATTCATAGAAGCATTTGTTGTATGTTTTCAATGTAGGTAATGTTAGATTATTGATAGAAAAGTATATAAACTTATCTCCAAACTACAGTTCATAAATCCTGATTGAAAATGGTACCTACTGTCCTGCAAAACCTCATCCCTATACCATCATCCCAGGTCTCACTTTCTCTGCTAACTGTAGTCTAACTGCTGAGCTTGGCAACAGAACAATCCCATGAGTCTGTGGCCCTCAAATGAGCTGTGTTCTCTGGTGATTTTTGCACAGATGATTCCCCCTATTGGGATAACATTTCTTTGGCTTGTCAGCTTGGTGAATTCCTATTAAGTCCTCCTAAATTCTGCTCCAGGCGTTTCTCCTCCAACAAAATTCCCTCTTTGCCCAGTGAATCCCCCGCTTTTTTGGAGAGCTGCTGTGCACTTTATATTGTTTTGTGATATATGTATAAAAAATCAGTTTCTTGTTTGAAAGACAAAAAGACTAATTTATTTTTGTATCCCAACAAAGTGGCAGACAGTGCATGTGAAATGTTTGTTGACTGAACATAGCTCTTCATTCCTGTCTCTGTTGTCACACTTATCACCATCCACTTAATATTAATTATTCATGTATGTATCTGTCTCTCTTGCATGGTTTTAAGCTTCCGGATGTCAGAGACCATGCCTAATTCCTCTAAATATTCCCTCAAAGCACTCCTAATATGCATTGTGGGAGTTAGTACTCAATAAATACTTGCTGATTAGGAGAATACTTAGAACAGGGGTGTCTGATCTTTTGACTTCCCTGGGCCACATTGGAAGAAGAAGAATTGTCTTGAGCCACACACAAAATACACTAATACTAATGATAGCTAATAAGCTTAAAAAAATTTTTTTTAAAAATCACAAAAGAATCTCATAATGTTTTAAGAAAGTTTGCAAATTTGTGTTGGGCTGCATTGAAAGCCGTCCTGGGCCCCATGAGGCCCGTAGGCCACGGGTTGGGCAAGTTTGACTTAGAAGATTTCGATGACCTGTTTAGTTCTCCAAGTTGGAATTGACAGTCAGAGGCTTCATAATAAGGAATATGTCCTTAGGCTAATTTCCAGGAGGCAAATGCTATTTAACTGTATATCTTTCAGATCTAGGTTGCAGCCATTTCCAACAATTAATAAAGTATTTTAATACATGAAAGAGAAATTTCTGGTTCAGAAGATACTTCTCTGATCACACACGTCGTAGGGCATTGTACATCAGGGCCTTTGGCCACCAAACTTCTAAGTAGCTAATTATAGTCAATATGCTGTAAACAGTGGTCAGAGGACTCCTTGACCCAGATATCTTTCAGAGTGAAGTGTGGGGAAGGAACTTCAGCTGTTTAGGATTTTTATTGCTGTTGTTGCAACAGGCTATTTATCCTCCTTTATTTTAGTCCTCCTTATTGAACTTTCCAGGTCTGTACTACCTACTAAATTAAGTACAGACTTCTCCTTTCAAGACCTGTCCAAGTATAGGTCCAATTTATCTTTACTGTTTTCTTTTTCTTTTCTTTTTTATTTTTAAGTCACAGTCTCACTCTGTCACCCAGGCTGGAGTGCAGTGGTGCAATCTCGGCTCACTGCAACCTCCGCTTCCCAGGTTCAAGTGATTCTCCTGCCTCAGCCTCCTGAGTAGCTGGGATTACAGGCATGTGCCACAACACCCGGCTAATTTTTGTATTTTTAGCAGAGATGGGGTTTCACCATCTTGGCCAGGCTGGTCTTGAACTCCTGACCTCAAGTGATCCACCCACCTCAGCCTTCCAAAGTGCTGGGATTACAGGCATGAGCCACCTCACCTGGCCTCTTTTTCTTTATTTTTATTATTTTTTTTGAGACAGAGTCTCACTCTGTCACCCAAGTCAGAGTGCGGTGGCACGATCATGGCTCACTATAACCTCCACCTTCTGGGCTCACGGGATCCTTCTGCCTCAGGCTCCAATGTAGCTGGGATTACAAGCATGTGCCACCACACCCAACTACTTTTTTTTTTTATTTTTAGTAAAGATGGGGTCTTACTGTGTTGCCTAGGGTGGTCTTGAACTCCTGGACTCAAGTGATCCTCCCACCTCAAGTGATCCTAACCACCTCCCAAATTACTGGGGTTACAGGCATGAGCCACGCCGCCTGGCAACTGTACTGTTTTCTAGTGTTCCCCCGCTCCCCCCATTTACTCTATAATCTCATCAAACTGAACCCTTGCTAAGACACCTAGAATATTTTCATTTAAGTACTTTTGCTAACAAAATCACCTCTATTAGAAATGGCCCACATCCCTGCCTGTCAGTCTTCCCTGTCTTTGAAGACCCTTTCCAGATCCTCTCTCTTCTTGACCACCACATCCCCATCCCTGTGCCTGCATTCAGCTTTGATCGCTCTGTTCTGTGAGTTCTTGTGCCATTTTGTTTGTACCTCTTAAAGCACTTACATAAATATATATTTCAAAAGTCACGTAAAACTTATTTTTCTCTGATAATTGTGTATATTTTTAATAGCAACCTTTTTTTGTTCATCCTAAATTCTAGCCATACTATGTCAATACCTGAGATTATTGAGCTGCTAGATTTGTTGCAATATGGAAATCCCATTGCATCCTTTAAAATACCTTTTTGTTTGTTTATCAAAATCATTGATACATTTCCCCCAAAATATGTTCCTCCAAGAAAATTCTGTTATCAAATAAGTTTGGGGAATGCTGCTGTTGAAATGTTGCATTGAATATGCAAGGAGAGTAACAACATATATTAGCATGTCAAAGTCTCTGAAAAGTACTGCCATAAAGAAACCCATATTTAACTGTGTTCAGCAGCATTTCTCAATTTAGTTGATGTCAGAAGCTTTTTAAGGGCTTGACCTTTGTTAACATCCCGTTCAATTTCTATGCTTGTGAAATGCTGGTCTAGAGAAATGATTATTTTTAAGTAAGTTATCAGAAATATTCTGCATTTTCTGACAGTCTCTGAAGTCTTCACTGCTGTTAAATGCAGGCAGTCTTGCCCCAAAATTGTAGGATTGTGGTGGTGATTTAAGTAAATCCTCACAACTGGATTATGTTTAACTCACTAATGTAAAAAAATTATTTCTGAGTTCTTATTCTGTACTCAGCCCTACATGAATAGATGGGATTGGGGACAGGGATTATATACCACGTGACCTGGCCTCTGTTTTCAAGGGGTTTACATCTTAAAGATATATGAGACTCAAATGCAGACAGTTACTGAAGGCATCAGAACTTTATGTGTGCCAATAAGTGCTAAGCTGTTTTGTCGACCCTAGGAGTCTTGGGATAGTAGAAGTAGTGAAGGCCAAGATAGTCTTCAAGGCTGGTGAGGAATTGAGAGAGCTGAGCCTTGAACTGTGTCTTCAAGAGTGGGCAGGTATGATCCGGCAGAGTGGAAAGACAAAGTGGGGTAAAGGCATGTAAATTGCATGAGTTGTGTGGTAAAAACTCATGGTGTGGGTGACCTGGAAGAGATCAAACTGCTTGTCCTGGAAGAGAAGAAGAGCTTTTGTGTTTTACAAAAATAGAACTACTATCAATGTGGAAAATAAGAACTGTCTCTCCTTATTTTCTCTCCAAATCCTGGAACCTAGAATGTCTTCTAAAATGTCAAATTGTATTTAGTTTATTTATTTGGAATATACAAAAATACTAATACTTGAATACTTAGAGAAGTCCACATGATTAAAAGCAAGGATGTTTTGGAGAATGAAGGGGAGGATGGGCATTGGAGAGTGGTCAGAAATAAACACACCTTTAGGCAAGTGTTAGTGAAATGCTGTTTTCTAAGGAGTCAGCAATCAAACCTATGTGTCGGGGTCACTTAGGTCTGTTTCAAGGGATGTTCTTTTTTGGTTCACTAGATATTTACTGAACAAAATCATTGCCTCTTTCTGTAATGAAGCCACACAGGTATCTCAACAGTAGTCTGTACTTGACTAAGAGTCATGGCTTTGACTGATACAATCAACAAAAGGCCATTTATTTATTTTTGAGATTGAGTCTTGCTCTGTCACCCAGGCAGGAGTGCAGTGGCGTGATCTCAGCTAACTGCAACCTCTGCCTCCTGAGTTCAAGCAATTCTCATGCCTCAGCCTTCCTAGTAGCTGAGATTATAGGCTCATGCCACCATGCCCAGCCCATAATTTTTAAAATATGTGTTTAGTATGGTTTATGTTGAATCTGATAGATGTTTATATTATTCATTCTCATTTCATTTGTTTTCCATATTGTTAAAAGATGAATTTGGCACATTAAAATTTTAAATAATTTATTTGTGCAGATAGTGATTCATGATTTGGGCAGCTCCAAAATGGAAGGGGTTTGGGACTCCACTGAAGGGGCATGAAGGGAAAGCTTTTGTAGGGTGAACTCAGAAGGCAAGCAAATAAATTATTTGATTGGTTAAAGTTTGAGTAGTTATTTTATTTGTACTGTCCCAGTGGAAAATTCTTGATTATATAACTAATGCTCAGTTGGCTGCTGGTGATTGGCAGTGATTGGCTGAGTTTAAGTTTTGTTTTGTTTATGTAGAAACCCAGGACCTTGAAGCAATCTCAGCCTGTTAAGTTTATTTTAGTAGTTTATATATATGAAAGCGATGAAGATTAAGATAATATTTCATAAGTATATGAATTTTTTTATTTTTACATTGTAATATCACATTTTTTCCCTAAAGGATAGCATACTATATTTGATTATAGTGTCAGTATTACTGATACTGGAAACATTTTTCTTCACAACTACCAAAGAAGGACATATAGCCTCTAGAGTTTGGGGCAGTAACCTTGAGTCTGAGTTAGGATGAGTGAGCAGCCCATCACCTCATGCAGGATAATTTTCTTCCCTGCACTCAAAAGTGTAGAATTATGCATGTGATTGGACCTTTTTTTTTTTTTTTTTTTTTTTGAGACAGAGTCTTGCTCTGTCGCCCAGGATGGATGGAGTGCAGTGGCACGATCTTGGCTCACTGCAAGCTCCGCCTCCTGGGTTCACGCCATTCTCCTGCCTCAGCCTCCCAAGTAGCTGGGACTACAGGCACCCGCCACCACGCCCGGCTAATTTTTTGTATTTTTAGTAGAGGCGGGGTTTCACCGTGTTAACCAGGATGGTCTCGATCCCCTGAACTTGTGATCCGCCTGCCTCAGCCTCCCAAAGTGCTGGGATTACAGGTGTGAGCCACTGTGCCTGGCCCCTGGACTGAGCTCTCAGTTTTGTTCGAGTCCCTTAGAAACCTTAAGAAAGGTGTATCAATGAATGAATTACAGGGTGTATCAATGAATGAAGTACAGGTTGTATCAGTGAATGAAGTAGAGGATGTATCAATGAATGAAGTACAGTGATGATGCACTACAGGGTTTACTTTTCCTTCTGTAGCAAGGGTCCTTGTTCTAAAATGAATGATGAGTAAGTTTGGGTAGCAGCAGATGAGCTTTGTGGCTTCCCTTTTTTCTTTTCTTCGCAGTCTCAATTTGTTCTTAACAAGCATTTATTCAGAAACACAAAAGAAGGTAGCAGAATTATATTGGTATTCCCATGTTATGGGCTATCTTCTAAGTGAGAAAGACTTTTAAAGTGCTTAAAATGCTGAAATAGGATTGGTTTTCTAAGAAGAATGAAGAAAACCTTCTTGGAATGTCAATGAAGAAAGGATAATTTTGTTATTGACAGCTAAGAAGGTGAACGTACTACTGACTACAAACCAGCACTGGTTCATTGCTGCTGGTGGTGGTTATTATTGTGCTGTGGCTGTGGCATAAAGGGCACATAAGAGAACTCCAGAGAGCTCACTGGGATTCCCCTAGTCTGTCCCAGCCCCGTTGGGTTACTGGGTTCATCATAACATAAATGGGAAACCTATATTTAATTACCTTTGGTCTGTGCTGTTTCATATAATGGCCTTATTGTAACCCAAGTGACTTTTCTTTCCTCTTTTAAATAAAGCAGTGATTTTCATGGCTTTTAAAGAATAAAGCAAGCAAAATGAGAAGGTTTAGTCAAAAATATGGTTCATAAAGTTTTATTATTGTTCTACCTTCTTAGAACTGAGGCCTTCCTGAATTGTCTTCCACTTAAGGAAATTTTCATGGCAGAAATCTCAAGTTTTTTGTACAGAATGGAAATCCATGACTTCCTTAGAATTAAAAACACTTGTGCATTTTTATTTATAACCTCTATAAATGTTTATCTTGTTTTAAAGGGTAGACATACAAATATGTTGAGACTTGCTTGATGGCAGCCAGAGATACCAGTTATTCTAGTTCCCCTCTAAAACCTGAAGACAAAAATCACATTCCCATTGTGTCTGTCTGAGGGAATGACATAAGGCAATAAGGGCTCATTCCCTTTCAACTAATTCGTGGAATTTCAAGAAAATGGTGTTTCAACTTCATCATTATAGGAATGGGATGATTTTTCTTCCCTGCACTCGAAAGCGTAGAATTATGCATGTGATTGGACATTTTTTTTCCCTGCTACTGAGCTCTCAGTTTTGTTCGAGTCCCTCAGAGCTCTGTAAGGAGTGTCGCACCCAGTGATGGAGAAAAAGCATCCTGCTGTTTTGCCTATACCTTTCCGTGCCCTCTGCCCTGGAAAATCTACTTTCTTAGCCCCATGATTCTATTTCCTATGAAGAATGATTAAAGCCATGGGGTAAATGCCCCCATTTCTTTTTCACAGTAATTTTATAGTTTATGAATTGAGGATATCAGAGGTTGATCAAGAGTAACTATCAGGAAGGCCAAGAACTGTCATAAGATTGCATAACTTAGAAATCATAATTGAGCTCCTTAATTTTATACATGAAGAAAATATTTACAAAGCAAGTCAAACTGACATTTTATTGCCTTGAAAACTGTTTCCTAGCCAAATGCAGTGGTTCACACCTGTAATCCCAGCACTTTGGGAGGCTGAGGTGGGGGGATTGCTTGAGGTCAGGAGTTTGAGACCAGCCTGGGGCAACATAGTGTCTCTTAAGAAAGTAAAAAATTACCCAGGTGTGGTGGCACACACCTATAGTCCTAGTTATGTGGGAGGCTGAGGTAGGAGGATCAGTTGAGCCCAGGAGTTCAAGGTTGCACTGAGCCATGATCACATCACTGCACTCCATCCTGAACAACCAAGTGAGACCCCATCTCTGGAGAAAAAAAGAAAGAAAACTATTTCCTTTTCAGAGTTTTTTCCAGGTGCAATTTCAGTCATTTCTGAGTTATTAACGTGTAAAACAAACGTTTTAACAAGTGCGTGTGTGGCTGATGGTGGGGAAAAAATGGAAACTTGCTTTTAAATGTCTATTCAGTGTTAAAAAATATGAGTTATTTAAAACCATGGTTTTTAAATGAGAAAAACTCCCACATATATTATGTTAGAGTATATGTATTTATCAAAGGAAAATATGCATATATTTTAACAAAAATTTAAGAAAAATTTAAATATAAAAATTGATTTAAAAATATTTAATCACATGCAGTAAGGATTGTGGCATCTTTCTTTATCTTGATGCTCTTCCTTTGGCATTTCTTAAAAGTCATTAAAAATATCTGAATGATTGAATTCATTCTGTGCAACCAAGAGAGAAATTCATTATGCCCATACCATGTTTTTGAGCAAATATTGAGTTTATCACTTCATTCAGTAATGTGTTTGAATTTGGCTTCTGATCTTCATGAAGAAGAATATCTTTCAGATCATGTTATCAAGGTGCTGAATTTACCTTATTTTTTTCTCTTTCATTGTTTCCCTCTGATGTGGCTGCTGTGTTGACAACCCTCTGTATCCCTGCTGCTGAATTTTTTTTTTCCCATCATTAAGGAAACCTCCCAAGGTAAGCACTAATATGAAATTTGGCATGTATACTGGCTTAGTGTGCAAAAATCCAGGATTTATCACTGTAACCCATGTAGAACATCTGTCTCATTGAGAACTGAAAACAGCATCCTAATTTAAAACTCACATCATGAACAATTAATATCAGTGTTAACATAAAGTTAGAGTGTCACTCTACATTGACAGAGCACTTTCACATATTATTTCATTCTCAGAATGAATGCTGTAATCTTCAAAGCAAACCTGTCAGGTTATTGTTTCTATTTTCTTGATGATGAAATGAGACTCAGAGAGATGAAATAGCATGTCCTAACTCACAGATTGAGTGAATGGAAGAGCTGGGACTGCACAGTATCAACAGCCTAGAATGTGGAGGAACAACTATGGTAAGATCATAGGATGGCAGTTGGTAACTGTGATTACTGATTGGACAAACGATCTTTTCCTGTGCCCCAATAAGATTAGTTGTTATCATTGGAAAAGTTCTTCACACTTTTAAATAGAGATTCAACATTCTACCAACTTTATATGCCTCATTGGAGTTCCTAGCCCATCACAATGGCCACTAGTTAGTTTTTTCCCCACCTGCTCTGGCCAACCTTTGATGGCATTTTTACCAGTGAGAAGGCCAGAAGTTAGAGAATAGTTAGAGGAGGGAAGTGGGGGAATATGAGAAGTAAGGAATCTGAATGACCAGCCCCTGAATAACTGAAGATTGATTTTGTTACCAGTGAGCATTTTGCTGAGTATCAGAGGGACACTTAGCACCAAAAGGAGTGAGAAATTTGACCAGCCCCTGGCCAGTGATACTGATTATAGCTGTGGTTCTTGAGATAGGATTAGAACAGGCTTTACCTACACAAATTATATGGTCAGAATCTAAGACAAGTTGGGTGACGGCATGGAATCCAGAAAAGACAAAGCTTACTTTCCCCTGGGGTTATGAAGAACAATCCATCTTAGCTCTTGGATTATGGAAACCCATTAAAATGCTGCTGTATACCTTGTACTTATTGAAGACATTGTCCTTGGCAATAAGAGTTTCAGCTTTAGCAAGGAAGGCATGCATTGAACAAATGATATAAGATCTGTTAAGAAAGAGGAAATATATAATATATTAGAAAAGTATTGGCAGTGGCATTCTGGACAAATCTAGGGAATCAGGAGATTCTCCCCGAGCAATTGTCGACGTAGATATAATCCCTAAAACTGGTCTCTACTGGAATGTATAAGTGCCGTTTATCTAGCTTTTACATCCCTTGCTGTTGGTTCCCCAAAGTTTCAGAAGAGTCAGTCTTGTAGTACAAAGTATTCCCCCACAGAAAAATACCAGTGAAATACTGCGCAACTCCACATATGCCTGCTTAGTGAAGGAAAAGCACTGAAATGAAAAAGAGACACAAAAACATTTTTAAAAACCACTATTGCTTTGTACACAGGAATGTTCTTGTCACTTTCTAGTGAGTATATATAGCCTAGTGGTTCCCAGCCTTATTTTTGCTGGATATCCTATTGATCGTTCCTAAGAAGTGTCATGAAATTTTCAAAATAAAATTAACGCTGAATCACAATGTTAAACAATGTGTATATGCATGCCATAAGGCACATCTGGAAAGCATAAAGATCATCTTGAACTCAAATAAATGACACAATAGAATCAAATAAAGATGGACACAAAGTAGATATAGGCCTTTCCTCATAGAAACTATGTAAATGTTGAAAGAAAGTGGAAAAGGGAAAGGTGCTTTTAATGATGATTATGTAAGAATAAAATTTTATTTAAAACGATGAGATTTGGGCATAAGCAATCAAAAGCATCAGAGAAGCCTGGTTGTTTCGATTTAACAAATAATTATTCTGGGCAGGGGACAGGTGCTGCATGAGTCAGACAGAGCTCTAGCATTCTAATGGGGGTGGGGGGAGGGGAATACAGTTGACCCCTGAACAGCACAGGTTTGAACTGCCCAGGTCCACTTATATGCAAATTTTTTTCAACCAAACGCAGTTAGAAAATACAGTATTCGGGGGACATAAAACCCATGTATACAGAGGGCCAACTTTTCCTATAGATGGGTTCCAGGGGACCAACAGAGTAGGACTGGAGTCTGTGTGGATTTTGGTATACATGGGGGTTCTAGAACCAATTCCCCACATATACCAAAGGATGATTGGTATGTGCACAATATAAAATTGATTATATTAAAGACCACAAGAGGCAAAATATTTGTGAAATTCATAGAATGAAAGTTCCTGTTCAGACTTCTGCTGTCAGAAATGACAAACTAGGTAATTAGCATTGCCTTTTCCACTGAGGACAACTAGGACTGGACAAAATATTAAAAACTTGTGCTTGAAGGCACTGGAGATAAGCCAAGTTAGTGAGGAATTACTAGACCAAGATCCAGAAAGAGGTAAAAATTTAGAGAGATGAACCTAGCATTTAGATATATGCCATTCAGGAAGGAGCGGCTTAAAGACAGAGCAAATGCATATTGCTGACTGCTTTGTGGGGCTGAGGAGGACAAAGTACTGGAGTTCAAGTCCTTCCAGAGGTGGAGTCCTTGCTAATCTCCTTATACTTTGGGTTGGTAAAGTGGATTGAGATGCAGCCAGGGGTAGGGTATGAAGGTGAAACAGAGGTAAACCAGCCATCACATGGATTGTTGTGTGGTTCCAAGCCATTTGTATGATCCAGGAAATCTCAAGCACAAAAATTGGAACAAAGTGATACCAGAATGCAGGTGCCCATAGGCACCTGGCAGAAGTAAATGAAATCCTAAGTCTTTAGTGATTCCACAAACTGTTTTAAAAATACAATGTCCAATACACCATCAAAGTTAAGGAGGTACATGACAAGATGTGACATGAACAAGAGCCAACAGAAATAATAAAAATTAGAAATAGACCCATAGATGCTTCAGATGACCAAATTATTAGACAGGAACTTCAAAATGAATATATTTGTTATCTTCAAAGACATAAAACATAAGATTGAAAAATGTTGGAGAGAACTAGAAGCTATAGAAAGTGGCATAACTGATTTGGAAAATAACCCAATAGAAATAAATCCTCAATCTGAAAAACCCAAAACCGAAATTAAGAATTTAGTGCAAGGGTTTAGCAGCAGATAGATCCAGCTGTTTTTAATCCTTTCTTAGGAAGATCCAAATGCCTAGCTGGTCCAGTTGAGTTAATGATAACTCAGCCATGGTTGAGTTACCATTATTCTTACCCAACTGTTAATGCAGGAAAGGTCTCACATCCTTTCTATCAATCCCTGGGATTGTACTCTCTGAGTACTATTATTAGTAACAGCTGTCTTTAATAGAGAGGGAGTTGGGATAGGGATGAATAAGTAAAGCATAGGGGAAACTGTACTGTGTGATACTGTAATGGCAGATATATGACATTATGCATTTGTCAAAATTCATAGAACCATACGGCTCAAAGAATGGATCCTAATATAAACCGTGAAGTTTAGTTATGAATAATGTATCAATATTGGTTCATCAGTTATAACAAATGTACCACACTAATAAAGATGTTAATAATTGGGGAAACAATTCTTAACAGTAGGGAGTGGGGACAAGCGAGACTATATAGGAACTCTGTACTATCTGCCGAAGTTTTTTGTAAGCCTAAAACTTCTGTAAAAAAAAAAGTCATGATTATGAAAAAATCACTATAATTCTTATTAACAGAATGAAAAAGAAAAACTATGTGATCATATCAGTAAGATGCAGAAAAAGGCCAGGTGCAGTGACTCACGCCTGTGATCCCCGGCCTTGGGAAGCCAAGGTGGGAGGATTGTTTGAGACTAGCTTGAGCAATATAGCAAGACCTTGTCTCTACTAAAAATAAAAAAAGTTAGCAGGGCATGATGGCGTATGCCTGTAGTCCTAGCTACTCAGGAGGCTGAGGTGGGATGATCACTTGAGCACGGTAAGTTTAGGCTGTAGTAAGCTTGATCATGCAACTGCACTCCAGCCTGGGCGACAGAACCCTGTCTCAAAAAAAAAAAAAAATGGGGTGAGACGCAGTGGCTCACACCTGTAATCCCAGCACTTTGGGAAGCCAAGGTGGGAGGATCACGAGGTCAGGAGATCAAGACCAGCCTGGCTAACACAGTGAAACCCTGTCTTTACTGAAAATACAAAAATTAGCCGGGTGTGGTGGCACACGCCTGTAGTCCCAGTTACTTGGGAGGCTGAGACAGGAGAATCACTTGAACCCGGGAAGCAGAGGTTGCAGTGAGCCGAGATTGCGCCACTGCACTCCAGCCTGGGCGACAGAGCAAGACTCTGTCTCAGAAAAAAAAAAAAAAAAAAAAAAAGATGCAGGAAAAAAAGCATTTGACAGAATTCAATGTTTATTTATGAATTTATGATACAAACTTGCAGCAGCCTAACAGTAGACAGAAACCTCAATATGATAAAAGGCCCATGAGAAATCTACATCTGACATCCTATGTAATAGTAAAAGACTGAATACTTTCTGCCTAAAATGGGGAATAAGGCGAGGATATTGATCTAACCACTTATATTGTGCATTGACAGGAGGTCCTAGGCAGTGCAGTTAAGCAAGAAAAGAAGTAAAGGAAATTCAAGATGGAAAGGAAGTAGCAAAAGTATATTTACAATAAGGTACAATAAGGTTGTATACTTGGAAAACCTTAAGAAATCTGCAAACAAGCTCCTGCAAGGTGGCAGAAAAAAGGTCAAAATATATTTCTTTATACTATCAATAAACAATTCAAAAATAAAATTTTTAACCATCAAAACATCAAAAACATTAAATACTTGGGATATATTGAGTGAAAAACAGGCAGAGCTTCTAAAACCCACATTTGGTTATTTGATTGTAGACAGATGTGCTAAGACATAGAACTAGGAAAGTGTCAGCTGTGCTCAGGTAAGGGCAAGGCATAGAGTTGGACTAAAGGTACATGAAGAGGAATCCTGGGTGACTGAACTGTATTTACCCACAGCACTCTTGACACCAAATGTATGGTGTTTTCCCCAGCACCAGTAAATTCTCCAATTCTCCAAAATCAACTGAGTGCCCTACTATCTAGTTCAATTCTGGCATGTTACCTGGAGTTAGCACAGACCTACAGGTTAGGGGCTCAGTCCCATAAGGCTGCCTCCACTTTAGATGCCATTCGCAAGTCCCAGGTTGCCACCTATACTTCTGACCTACCGGCTATAAATCAAGAGTTCCCGTGTCCCCCTCCTCAGGTTCCATAATTTGCTAGAATGGCTCACAGAACTCAGGAACGCCCTTTACATAATATTGCCAGCTTTGATAAAGGATAAAACTCAGGAAGAGTCAGATGGCAGCAATGCATAGGGCAAGGCAGCATGAAGCCTCTCTGCCCTTTCTGTGTGTACTGCCCTTCCAGTACCTTCTTGTGTTCAGCAACCCAGATGCTCTCCCATCCTTGTAGTTTAGGGATGTTTATGGAGGCTCCATCACATAGGCATAATTGATTGAATCCATTGAACTCAGTCTCTAGTGTCTCTCCCCTCCCAGAAGTCAAGAATTGGGCTAAATGTTCCAACCCTCTAATCCTGCCTTGGTCTTTCTGGTAAGCAGCCCTATCTTGAAGCCACCTGGGGACCCCAGCCACCAGTCATCTCATTAGCATACAAAAGACACTCTTATCACTGCACAGTGATGTATCACCCAGCTGTGGCAGGCCTTGATGTCAGGGTTGGACCTTGATACCTTCAGTGTCTCTATTGCCTGTTTTGAACAAAGCTTGATCAGTAGGGAGGCTAGTGGTAGTATTCAGTAAAATACATCAGAAAAAAAGGAAATAAGGGTTTGCACAGGAGCAGTGCCCATTAGAGCAGGAAAGAGGAAGGGAAGAATTACGAAAACATTACAGAAATAAAGTAACCAGGACTTTGATGCTAACAGCATATAGGAGAAGACAGTATATCAAGAGTCAGAGATGTCTCGGATTTGAAACTGAGTGAATGAAAAATCAAATCAACATAAACTAAAGAAGGAAGAGCTAGTTTGGTTCAGTGGGAAGTTGATTACGTTCTAGAGTGGGCTGAGTTGGAAGTGATGGCAGCCATCTGATAGGATGCTTAGCAGGTGATACGAATTTGCCGACTCTGCCTTACAAAGATCAGGTAAATTATTGGGGTGAAGAGAGTAGGAAGTGGAGGAAGAGGTATCTCTTGTCAAGGAAAACAGGATTAAGTGGAATAGAAGACATGAGAGAATAGAGGATAGCACCTTGGGACTCACTCTGCTTTGGAGAATGAAAAGAGGAGGAAGAACCAATGAAAATTAAGAAAAGCCATGGATTCATGAATGGTGCTGTTGGTGGTGGTGGAGTTGAGAATTCATACACTTGTTCTCCCCAAATTGGGTGTCTTTCTTTTTTTAAGAGACAGGGTCTCACCGAGGCTGGAGTACAGTGGCACAATCATAGCTCACTGCATCGTCAAACTCCAGCCTCAAACTCCTGGGCTCAAGCAATCCTCCTGCCTCAGCCTCCCAAGTAGCTGAGACGAGAGACATGAGCCACCACACTTGGCTAATTTTTTAATTCTTTGTAAAGATGAGGTCTCACTCTGTTGCTCAGGCTGGTCTCAAACTCCTGGCTTCAAGCTATCCTCCTTCCTCAGCCTCCCCAGTTGGGTTTCTTTTGTTCCTAACTCTTAAAAATTATTTTTTCTAAGTGTTGTGTTAGGGCAAGGAGAAGATGAAGATATTCTTCCAGCTGAGTTTTAAAAGTTAGATTTAAATTTTTTTATGTAGCATGTGTAATGTAACATGTCAGAATACAAGGGAAATGTACATAAGTTTCTGTCTTTATAAATTGCTTTGTACCATATCTTTGGGTTTTTCTCTTTGATAAATGTTACATTTTGTAAATTTGCACTCTTGAGTGGAGAAACATTTATTTCAGCATAAGCCTCATGCATACCTTTTAGTACTTTTACCAGTTGTGTATTATGATGTAGTATTTATGGAAGTGTGTTTTGTTTCTTTTAAACAGAAAAGCAAGCTTTTGGGCAAACATGAGACATCTGCTTCTTACCTCTCTGTAGTTTACAGGGGGAAAAAAGAGGCTTTGTCTCATAATTTGTAGGATTGGAGTGTCTTTCCTTCTCAGTGTGACTGTAGTTTTGAGTCTGAGGTTTTTGTCTGAGAAGTATCGCAGATAGGTGTAAATTAGGGAAATTCGACTGGGTGTGGTAGCTCATGCCTGTAATCACAGCACTTTGGGAGGCTGAGGCAGGAGGATTGCTTGAGGCCAGGAGTTTGAGACCAGCCTGGGCAACATAAGGAGACCTTGTCTTTAACAATAACAATAGTAATAATAACATTATTATTATTATTATTATTATTATTAGCTGGGCATAGTAACATGTCCCTGTAGTCCCAGCTGCCTGGGAAGCTGAGGTGGGAAGATCGCTTGAGCCCAGGAGTCTGTGGCTTCACTGAGGTATGATTGTGCCACTGCACTCTAGCCTGGGTGACAGCAAGACCTTGTCTCTTTGAAAAAAAAAAAAGAAGAAGGAGAAGGGGGAAAGTGCTTGTTAGTTTAGCCACCTTCTGATTAACTTTGGATTTTGGCAGGAGGTGGTGCAGAGGAAGACGACACTTGTGTGGAGAATCACTACCTAATTATGCCATTATGTATGCTCTATTGATAGGTACAGGGAAGTGTCCTCAGTCAAAGCAGCTCTGCCTGCAGAAGCCCAGTTTCTGCATCCCCAGGTGGCCTCAGAATATCTGGCATGTTCCAAGACCCCTCACTTGTCATGGTTTTGTCTTATCTGGGTCAAGTTTCTTTCCTTCCTGAGGAGCCACATTGAAACACACACAGGAATAAAAAAAGAATTCTTCCTCCTTTTTTTCATTTTCTTCTTCTGTCCCTCAAGATTTATTCAGAACCTTCTATGTCCCAAGTTAGCAGTACATAGCTAGAAGAGATTTTTTTTTTTTTTTTTTGAGACGAAGTTTCACTCTTGTTGCCCAGGCTGGAATGCCATGGTGCGATCTCGGCTCACTGCAACCTCCACCTCCCAAGTTCAAGCAATTCTCCTGCCTCAGCCTCCTGAGTAGCTGGGATTACTGGCATGTGTCACCACGCCTGGCTAATTTTGTGTTTTTAGTAAAGACAGGGTTTTTCCCTGTCTTTCCTGTCAACAGGTTTTCCCTGTCAACAGGTTTCTCCGTGTTGGTCAGGCTGGTCTCAAACTCTCGACCTCGGGTGATCTGCCTGCCTCGGCCTCCCAAAGTGCTAGAGTGAGCCACAATGCCTGGCGCTAAGAGAGATTTTTAAACTTAGATGATTTAAATCTTTTTATTCAAGACCAAGGAGACTGATGCTTAATTGGCTAAACCGTCCAGGGGGAGAGCTTGGCTCCAGTCTAGGCCTCCTGATTGCCAGTCAGGTACAGTCCAGGATGATCTCAGCATCTGTGGATTTTGGTGTCCTCAGGGGCTCCTGGAACCAGTCTCCAAGGATACAGAGGGACAAGTGTATTTTCTTTGACATCATATGATTGTAAATGAGTTTTTCTATGTATTGGATTTTATGTGCCAAGATATAAGGAAAGAGTAAGAAGAAAGAATCTGAGGGAAAACATATAAATAACTGAAAAATCACTTTGTGTAGGATCATATTCTTTTTTACTCAGTTTGCTCATTTTAAACTCACAATTGTTTTGTTTAGTATCTTATAATTTCATGTACGGTTTATTTGAGTGTTAGAGCTTGTGAATTAAATTCACTTTCGGTGTTTTTTGTTTTATTTATGAGTTAGGTTACTGAACTTCAAGGTGTTTGATCTCACTTCTATGTTTATAAGTTTTTGGCAAAATTGTAAGCTGAAGAAATTGACTACATTATAACAAAACAAAACTGTTACTTTTTGAAACTGAGTCATTTGAAGAAGCACACAGATACATACCAAAAACCTGCCTTTATGAAAATTGCTCAGAAAAAGTAAGGGGGAAACCTTATTAGGTACAGCTTATGCCATCTGAAATGCAACTTTATTTAGTCTAGCTTCACAATCTGTGACTGCCTTCATTTTCTGTTGCCTCTACTGTTTTGCTACTAAGCATTTGGCCTCAATGAGGTGAGTTCTAGACCTGTACTATTCAGTACAGTAGCCATTTAGCCACAAGTGGTTTATGAACATATGATATGTGACTGGTGTTGCTCGAGATTAAGTACAAAATATATGCTAGATTTAGAAGACTTGGTACAAGAAAGAAAAAGAATATAAGATTTTTTATATATTTGGTTAAATATATTATTATTTTTATATTAAATTATTTCATCTCTTTTTACTTTTTTGTTTTTTTGAGATAGGGTCTCACTCTGTCACCCAGGCTGGAGTGCAGTGGCACAGTCTCGGCTCACTGCAACCTCCACCTCCTAGGTTCAAGCAATTCTCTCACCTCAGCCTTCCAAGTAGGTGGGACTACAGGCCTGTGCCACCACGCCCAGCTAATTTTTGTATTTTTTGGTAGAGACAGGGTTTCACCATGTTGGCCAAGCTGGTCTCGAACTCCCGGCCTCAAGTGATCTGCCCGCTTTGGCCTCCCAAAGTGCTGGGATTACAGGCATAAGCCACCATGGTTGGCCTCTTTTACTTTTCAGTGTGTCTACAAAAACATTTTAAATTATTTATATGGCTAGCATTATATTTCTATGGGACAGCTCTGTTTCAGATCAAACCCATGGCTTAGTACTGAACACCAGTATACTTCCTAAGGCTTTTGCTTGTTTCATTACCCAGTCAAATGCAGCAGACCTACCTTGATCTTTTACATTTTTACTTTTATATCTGGGTCCAGGAGTGTTGCAGCTGCATGAACTCAATGACAGCATAACCTTCTCACTATACGTTTTTCCTAGGAATTGTTTCCTAGGCTCAAGAGTGACTAAACTAGTAGTTTTTGTTTTCTAGAATTCATAACATGATAAGGAAGATTAGATATACTATAATCTAAGTAGTGGAAAATAGATTATGGTAACATCATCATTCACTACTTCAGTACTTTGTGTCTTGTGTCTTCTGAGGAAGAAGGCTTCATAGCTAAACATGGAACTTCAGGAGGCCTGCAAGTATGGATAGGGTGTCAAAGTGCAGAAATTTAGGATAAGAATCAAGATGCAGGGGCTGGGCCCAGTGGCTCACACCTGTAATCCTAGCACTTTGGGAGGCTGAGGCAGACGGATCACCTGAGGTCAGGAGTTCGAGACCAGCCTGGCCAATATGGCAAAACCCCATCTCTACTAAAAATACAAAAAAAAAAAAAAAAATTAGCTGGACATGGTGGTGGGTGCCTGTAATCCCAGCTACTCGGGAGGCTGAGGCAGGAGAATTGCTTGAACCTGGGAGGCAGAGGTTGCAGTGAGCCGAGATCCTGCCACTGCACTGTAGCCTGGGCAACAAGAGCGAGACTCTGACTCAAAAAAAGAATCAAGATGTATGTAAAGGAAGACAAACAAGAAAGTAATTGACGTATTAGGAAATAAGTTGCACACTCTGGTTAAAGTGTAGAGTACATGAAAGGAAGATCGTGTTTTAAAAAACTGGGAGAATGTAGTTTATAGAGCATTGGGAGTCTGGACTTAATCTGGTAGGCTATGAAGATCATTTAGGATCTTTATATAGAAAAGCTACATGATCAGAACTGTGCTTGCAAGAAATTCATACGGCTGCAAGATAGAAGATAATTGATAAGTATAGAATGTAGGGTGGATAATAATCTAGGTTCATTTTAAAGGAACTGCCTTGTGTGTGAACCTGCTTATGCTCCGTGATGCAACAGTAACAACCTTAAATGTTCAATGGCTAGAAACAACGAAAATATATTTCCCTGATGTTACATGTCAGCCGAGGTTCCCTGTGGCTGTATACCATATGACTTCAATCTGGGCTCCAGATTGAAGGAACAACCCCTATCTGGGACTTGCTAATACTGTGACAGAGGGGAACAAAGAAAGAGAACTGTGCAGTGGCTTCTTAAAGCTGTTGCCCAGACTGGCATATGTCACTTTGTTCATACTTAATTGGCCAAAGCAAGTCACACAGCTAAGCCTGATGTCAGTATGGTGAGGAATTGTATTCCTTCCTACTACAGGCACTGCATGTCATGTGGCAATAGGCAGGGATGTGTAATTCCCTTACCAGGAGGGCCAGGAATCATTTGGAACAGTAATGCAATATACCACACTTTGTCATTATAAATCATCCTTCTAAAAATTTCCCAAGACTTTTTTTTTTTTCCTCTTTTTAACAACGACAACAAAACAATCCTCAGAAACATAGGGTGGTGGTGGTGGTTGTTAGTAGTTGTGGTTGTTGTTGTTGTTTTGAGATGGAGTTTCGCCCTTGTTGCCCAGGCTGGAGTGCAATGGCATGATCTTAACTCACTGCAACCTCCACCTCCCGGGTTCAAGTGAAGTGCTGTGTGTTTCTATCTTGAAATTCCTACAGGTTCTACTCTCCCCTTTCCTTCTGCCCGACTTTGTTCAGAACCAAATGTTCTCACTGGAACTCTGTGCCTTTAGATGTCTACAGTACCACTGACGGAGTACCAGGTCACATGGAGTATAGGCCCCAGGAAGAAAAGATATCCATCTCCCTTGTCTCTTGGTGTTGATCCATCTCCCTGTCTAGAATAGTGAAAGCCTTCTGGACCAGGGAGTCTCTTGGCTCCCACTTGGCCCGAGTCAGCCGCAGCAGTGTGAACTCTTCATCAGTCCTTTGCAGCGTAACTTAACTGGGAGTAAATGTTTGCAACCCCTGGACTGCCTCAGGTCCTTTAGCTTTGGTGACCTGGGGCCATGGAGTCAGCCTAGCATTCTCCTCTCTGTGGCTCTATGTACCTGGCATGGTGCAGTGAGGCAGAGGGGACTGGAGAGATAGGCACAAGAAATGAGGTCTTGGTCCAGAAGTTCTGAGCCAGACCCAGAGATTGCTCATGGTGGGTGATATTAGCATGACTCAGATTTAATCTAGGTTTTATTTTTCTTCTCATTTTTATGAGTAACAATAATCATTTATCAGAGATAGCAGATAGGATCTGATAGCAGATGCTTAGACATTTGCAACTTATCTTTTGGACTGTTTTTATTGAAGAAGAAGTATTCTGTGTTTGAAAATATCCACATCACCTTTGAATGTGCTGTTGAAGAAGTTATTTGGGTGGCTAGGTTTTTTGAGAAGTGATCAGGATATGAAAGAACTGGAAATACCACAGATTGTGCATTTGTGACACTCCGACCCCCACTCCTCAGCCACCAGTGAAGCGGATTTTGAAAATGAATGATAGAGGATTAAATATGAAATGAGTAGAGTATTTGAAAGAGTTAGAACTGAATTAGTGCTTCATTGCTTATGCACCACTAGTTTATGTGTGCAGTGTTAAATGGAAGCTCTGTGCTGTTATAATATTGGTCTGGGTTTTGGGAGGATGATTTCCTGTTTTCAGATTTATTCATTAAATGAATGAAAGCATGAATTAGCTCTTTGTAGAGATACCTTCTCCTTGCATCCATAGAAATTTGAACTGCAATGCAGAGTAGTATTTTCCAAGGATAGTTGTTTTCTAGAACAGACCGTGCATTCCCTGAGATCAGGGACAATGCCTTGTAGATGTGCAGCAAATGCTGTTGGCTTTGAATCTTTAAGAGGCTTTCACATCTTCACAATCAGTCCATGCCGACTGTAATGCAAGACATTATTTGGTATGTATCTATAGGCATATGTAAAGGAAATGATTAATTACATTGCCAAAAGACAGCTGTTACTTGACATATGTTTAAATGGGAAGGTAGATCTGTCAATAAAACTCACCAGTAATAAGGGTGATGACTCTAGCATTCCTTAGGAGATGTGTTCAGATACATGCTGGAGTTCCTCCTGGCAGAGCTGCTTTTAGAAAAGCAGTAGTGAAGGCAGTTCTGTGATCACACAGGCTCTTGGTGCTGGGGTTTCCTTTCAGTTTCAGTCCAGTTCCTCTGAGATGAATGAAGTTTAACTCTTCCTTTTTTTCTTTTATGAATCTTCACAACTTTGATATCAGGAGAAAGATGAAAAAGAGAAAAGCATTGAAACTTGGCATTAAAAGAAAAATTTGAACATGAAGTGAAATCTAGAACTTTACTTGGTATGACTCAGTGCTCATAACATGGTGTGGTGAAATGTGAACACATTTGAAGTGTCGCTTTCATATTAATTGTAGTCTTTCAAATTGACAAAGTTGAAAACCACAAAACAGGACATTGGCAAGCTAATGTTCCTAAAACTGGAGAAATGGGGCTTTTCAGAGAGCTCTGGGGCTCAGTTTTCAAAGTAGATAGTGGCAGAACAGGCTGTTAATGGCAGCTGGGTCTGCAGATGTGAACAGCGGATTAATTGTACAAAGAGAGGAAGAAGGCAGTGTAGAGGAGAGGACACACTCCTTCATACAAAGCAAAGCAAGTCCACATAGAGCAGACTTTTTTCCCCAAGGGAAGCCCTTTTGATTTTAGATTTGGGCGCTAGGAAGTAGTGTGTTTTGCATTGATATTTTTGACACAGAACCAAACAGTCTGTAGCAACTCCCACACACATGGCCTTTTTTGCCTTTTCACTTCTCTTTCTATTTAATTCAGCAAATACTGAGTACCCATCTACACTATCCTGTACCTAGAGAGAATAAAGATGAGTTAGCACAGTCCCTGGCTCAGAAAACCTTCCAGCTTGGTGAGAATATAAAGTATTTAGGTTGGTGCCTGGTACATAACAAACGCTCTACAGCAGTAGCTATGCTATTAATGGGGGAGCGAAGTCCATCAGTACATAATGATAATATTGATAACAGTAGCTGCCATAGACTGAATTTCACTGTGTGCCAAGCATTATCTTAGTAGGTATTCCATTTATGTTACCACAATCCCAAATTAATGTAAAATGTGCAGTTACTTAGGTAGATGAGTGTGTGTTAGAGAGGGAGAGCTGTTGGCTAAGACAGCCCAGAGGAGGCAATAATTATAGGGAGGAAGTTGAGAAAACATTGGAGGAGGTGACATTTGAGCAGGTCTTGAGTAGTGTGAGTTGTACTTCACTGGGCAGGGAGGCAAGGTGAGGAAAGGCAGAGAATTACAGGAAGGAGAAATTCCCTCATAGTTCTACATTCCTTTCTCTTTTTTTGTTATTATTATGATTTCCTTCTCTTTTTTTGTTAATATTATTATTTCCTTTTAGCAATGGGATCTCACTAGGTTGTCCAGGCTGGAGTGCAGTGGCTATTCACAGGTGTGATCATAGCTCATTGCAGCCTCAAACTCCCAGGCTCAAGTGATCCTCCCACCTCAGCCTCACAAGCAGCTGGGACTGCAGGTGCATACCATTGCACCTGGCTCTCCCCTTCCTTCTTCTTTTCCCTAGACATCTCACTGTGTTCAATATACCCAAAGGATTTCTTGATCATTGGTGGAATCTCTCAGAGCTGAGAAGTTGGCTGACCATTGACGTAATATACAGATGAATAGGGTCATTTCTTATGTCTTTTTGGGAAAGCAGTGGGAATCCAGTAAACACAAAAATAATGCCTGTAGGGTGACACCAGTCTGTTACTGTGGCAGTTGAAGTAAAAATGGAGGCTTTGGCAAAGTATCGTTGGGGTGCTGCTATCCTGGCTGTGCCACTGAAGGATTTACACTGACTGATCTGTGCTATTTTAAGCAGATGTCACATGTGAAAACAGATTTACATGATTGATTAAGAGGTAGTTAGTTCACCAGGAAGTTGCCTTATTTTTTTTTATTATTTTTATTTTATTTTTTAGAGACAGTCTTGCTCTGTGACCCAGGCTGGAGTGCAGTGACATGATCACAGCTCACTGCAGGCTTAAACTTCTGGGCTCAAGCAGTCCTCTTGCTTCAGCCTCCTGAGTATCTGGGACTATAGGCACATGCCCCTGCAGCTGGCTAATGTTATTTTTTGTAGAGACTATGTTGCCCAGGCTGGTCTTGAACTCTTGGCTTCAAGTGATCCTTCAGTCTCAGCCTCTCAAAACACTGGGATTATAGGCATGAGCCACCATACCCAGCAAAAGTTGCTTTAAAATGTAAATTCGCCGAGTATTTTTGGTAATGAAAAGATTAGGGAAACCAAGGCTTTATCCTCTAAGAATTAATATTGTAGCAGAACAAAGGGAATTGTATATAAATAGATGTATACATATATATACACACATACAGAATCTGATTAGACAGATATGGAAATTCAGGATAATGAGAAATAGTATCCTTAAAAGTTTTATAAGCAGGCCGGGTGCCGTGCCGCACGCCTTTAATCCCAGCACTTTGGGAGGCCAAGGTAGGCAAATCACTTGAGGTCAGAAGTTCAAGACCAGCATGGCCAGCATGGTGAAACTCCATCTCTACTAAAAATACAAAAATTAGCCAGGCGTGGTAGTGGGCAGCTGTAGTCCCAGCTACTCAGGAGGCTGAGGCAAGGGAATCGCTCGAACCTGGGAGGCAGAGGTTGTGCTGAGCTGAGATCATGCCACTACGCTCCAGCCTGGGCGACAGAGCAAGACTCCATCAAAAAAAAAAAAAAATTTATAAAGGAGTGACATTTGAGATGACATTAAAAGGAAACAAATTAAAAGGGGGTAGGTTTTGGCTCACTTTGCAAAAATCTGATGTATATGTCCAGAAATATTTCTTTACATAAAATTAAATTATCTTGACATAATAAATATTAATCACTTTGTGTCTGAGGAGGGTTTCTGAGAGGTATTAAAATGATTTTAGGGAAAAAAATTACTTTTCTTAGAAAAAGAATACTTGTTTTGTGTTTTGCCTTTTTAACTAGACTGTAAGCAAGAGGATACAAACATGCCTAGTACATACTTGAGTTCCCTGTAGCCCCTAAAATTGAAAAAGGTAACAAGTGGGTGTTAGTTTATTGCTTTCCAGATTGACCATTTTGCAGTTGGAGAACATATTAGTGAAAGCACACAACTCGAAAGGACAAATGAAAGGATACAGAGATAATGCAGTTGAAAGCACCTTCACATCTCGTTTTTATGGATCAGAAAAATGGTTACAGATTACATATCTTAAAACACAGATGCCTTCTGGTTCTGCAGGGAACATAGAAGATCTTACTTCTTTTTTTATTTTTTTGAGACAGAGTCTTGCTCTGTTGCCCAGGCTGGAGTGCAGTGGCACAATCTCAGCTCACTGCAACCTCAGTCTCCCGGGTTCAAGCATTTCTCATGCCTCAGCCTCCCGAGTAGCTGGAATAACAGGCACATGCCACCATACCCAGCTAATTTTTGTATTTTCAGTAGAGACAAGGTTTCACCATGTTGGCCAGGAGGGTCTCAAACTCCTGATCTCAAGTAATCCGCCTGCCTCCACCTCCCAAAGTGCTAGGGTTACAGCCGTGAGCCCTGTGCCTGGCCATTGCTGCTGCTTTTTTTTGAGACACAGTCTAGCTCTGTCGCCAGGCTGGAGTGCAGTGGCGCAATCGCAGCTCACTGCAACCTCCGCTTCCTGAGTTCAAGTGATTCTCCTGCCTCAGCCTTCCGAGTAGCTGGGATTACAGGCGTGCACTGCCGCACCCAGCTAATTTTTGTATATTTAGTAGAGACAGGGTTTCACCATATGTTGGCCAGGATGGTCTCGATCTCCTGACCTCATAAGCCACTGTGCCTGGCCTTTTTTTTTTTTTTTAACTGTAAATTGACTTTTGCTGAAATGCCATCAGAGATGACTTTTAAGTAAAAGTGGAGTTTAACTGTACTACATCCTATTCGTAAGTCATGGAACTTCATTACCTCAGATTATATATATCTCTCAACACATTTGCCTTATTAAAAACAGCTTTAGTAACTTTATTAGATGTTCAGTGGTTCACAAAAATGCAAAGCTAACATTTTTAAGAGCCTGATAAAGGTGGAGCAGATGTACCACAAGCTGCAGGGAATTAAATCCTGGTATGAGTTTTATAAGTTGCAAACTAAGAGGAAGGAGTGGGATTCTGAGAAGGTGGAGTCAAATTTTGTTGAAAACAGTGAAGGCAATAGCTTTCAGATTTCAAAAACGACTACAAAACATCTATGCTTTTGGCTGTTTTTTCCGTTGAAAAGCTATGAATGCCTTTGCAAAAAAAATGTTCTCACAATGTTGGCTCTTATTGATAAAATGTAAAATTTATACTTGGTTGGCATTTTGTTGTTTTACTCAGCTGTATGCATTAAGAAGTCTGCTGGGCCAGGTACAGTGGCTCAGCACTTTGGGAGGTCGAGGTGGGAGAATTGCTTGGGGTCAGGAGTTCGATACTAACTTGGGCAATGTTGCAAGACCCCATCTTTGCAACAACAGCAAAATTAGACAAGTATGGTGGCATGTGCCTGTAGTCCTAGCTACTCGGGAGGCTGCTTGAGCCCAGGAGTTTGAGGTTACAGTGAACTGTGATTGCCTCAAGCCCCACTGCAGTCTCTGGCCTGGACAACAGAGCAAGACCTTTTTTTTTTTTTTTTTTTTTTTGAGACAGAGTCTCGCCCTGTCACCTGGGCTGGAGTGCAATGGTGCGATCTTGGCTCACTGCAACCTCCGCCTCCTGGGTTCAAATGATTCTCCTATCTCAGCCTCCCAAGTAGCTGGGATTACAGGTGCGTGCCTCCACGCTTGGCTAATTTTTTGTATCTTTAGTAGAGATGGGGTTTCACCATGTTGGTCAGGCTGCTCTTGAACTCCTGACCTCAGGTGATCCGCCCGCCTTGGCCTCCCAAAGTGCTGGGATTACAGCTGTGAGCCACTGAGCCTGGCCCAATTAGAAGTCTTAAATAACATTTTTCTAGTATAATATGGTGGGTTTGCAAAAAATAAGACTTTATTTTTCTTCAGTCATCGGTTTCTGGCCAGCCATGGTGGTTCATAACTGTAATCCCAGCACTTTGGGAAGCCAAAGCAGGAAGATCACTTGAGGCTAGGAGAATTCGAGACTAGCTTGGGCAACACAGCGAGCCCCCATCTCTACAAAAAATAACAATTAGCTGGGCATGGTGGCATGCGCCTGTAGTCCCAGCTACTCTTGGGAGGATCGCTTGAGCTGGGAGGTTGAGGCTGCAGTGAGCTATGACCATGCCACTGCATTCCAGCCTAGGTGACAGAGCAAGACCCTCTCTCTAAAATAAAGTTTTTAAAAAATTAGAAAAAAACAAAGTAGTCAGTTTCCAAGGAATAAGTCTTGAGAAATTGGTTTTCTCCCTTTTGAAATGTCAATGTATTTTGTATGGGAAAATCAAAACTACTGTAAAGACCTAAGAAAAGCATGTCTCCTTTTGTAACAAACCTTGTGTTATTCATATAATTACATTTTGGCATGAAAGGAAGGGTAATAGTTTGTAAATAGTTTATGGAACTAACAAGAGATTGCAAGGGAAATGTCAAGGACATGACAAAGGAATTAATTTAAACATCTTTAAAACTGCATTAGTAACGGCCATAATTTTTCTAGTGACAGTCAAACAAATAAATGTTCTAATTTCTGTGCAGACTACAAATTGTGCATGATATGCCCTTGCTTGTTTATCCACCTGAACCATGGAATAATGATGCTGAAGGGGACCCCAGTGCTCATCTAGTGACCGAATCCTTATTTGACCATTGCAGGAATCAAGTTCCCCCAAACCATGCATGTGAAAGTAATGAAACATCTAAAAATATATCCTGCAGCTTGAACCTCTGCTTACTCATAATAGTTCTTACATCCACTCCATGCTCTTGTCTGTGTTCCAACTCCTTCCCCTGGTAATATGTTTATTAATTGAAAAAATATTACATACAGTGCCTGCCCTGTATGAAATACTGAAACAGGCACTATGGGGTGCATGGAACATAGTTCCTGCTGCCATGGAGCTCACCATTTAGATTTGGAAGTAAGACCCACACAGAAGAACCAAGGCATAAAACAGGACCGTATGTAAATCAGTGTCAAGGGAGCTACAAACTGCTGTAAAATTTCATAGGAGGGAAAGGGGATTGGGAGATCACTTCCAGCTGAGAAAAGAATACAACAAAAATTTTTCTATTCACTTGCTTTGAGTTTTAGGGAAATCATGTAGATTTCTGGACTTCAGCTTTCTTCCTAGTAAATGTTTAATAAAATAACAACCTATACTCCAAGACTGGTTTGAGGTATCACCATTCTAAAATGCCTGTGATCAGAGATTTTGAAATTCAAGACATAATGCAGTTCAAAGGGTGCTGCTCTTTGGCAAGCAAAGAACAGTTGTATCTATCAGTATTGTTAGGACTCTTTTCATCTGCAGGGTTTTAATATTTGTCTGAATTCTAGGGGGCAAATGCTTAAAATGAAAATGGTCTCGTGCCCTTTTATTGGCAAAAACAACTTTAAATGATTAACTCTTTGATTGTTAGAAGTTTTCACAGACTTTGGAATAATTCTTACTGACAGGTAGACCCTCAAAATTTGGGGTAGATCTCTTTTATTTTAAGTAGCATTACTATGAATGTAAATGTCTAGCTTTCTAACTTTATTTGAAGAATAGCAAATTGTTAAATTAAGTTTGACCTGGATGCAGTGGCTCATGCCTGTAATACCACACTTTGGGAAGCCAAGACAGGAGGATCGCTTGATCCCAGAAGTTAAGACCAGCCTTGGCAACACAACATGACCCTGTCTCTATAAAGAAAACAAAAATGAAAAAAAAAAAAAAAGTTAGAGGTAGGCATGAAAAATTAACATGTAGAAAATAAATTATTATTCCACTACATATAGCAATAACTGAAGAAGTGAATAAATGATTATTCCACTATATATAACAATAACTGTGTTCAAAACACAGTCCTTGAACACACAGGCACTCTCTGCCCCAGTGCCTTTGCACCTGCTATTCCATCTGGCTGTCATGCTTTTCCACAGGCTTTCATAGGACCTGCTCCAGTTTTTTCCAGTGCCCCCTTGCTGTTACATTTTTGTGTCACTGATTACCTCCTGGCGTCATATGTGTTTATTGGTTGCTTGCATATTGCTTCTCTCCCTTCACCTCACTGGGAGCTTCATAAGGGACATGAATAATATAAGTATTACTACAGATAATGCAAGTAATAGGATACTCATGAGCTCCACGAGTCTTTGCATGTTTTTTGACTGCTATAATTCTAGCGCTTAGCACACAATAGGTACTCAATAAATATTTGTGAATGGATAAGTGAATTAATGAATTAGATGGCTACTACTAGGCCTGATTTGTAGTCATGCTCAGTAAATACTGACTGCAAATTTTTTTAGTGCAGAAACCAGAAGTTATTGAAAGCAGCACAGAATGAGGTTGAAAACCAAAGGTTCTTGGTGGGAGGATTTTTTTTTTCTTAATATTTAGGATGACGCATGTCACTGAAATTCACCATGGATCAAGCTTGGGCACAGTGCCCGGGATATAAGAAGGAGAGCGGTAAAGATACTTCAAAAAAAACAAAAAGAAAAGAAAAGAAAGGAAAATAGCCTCTATTGGCTGTTTAAAGTAAGGAGAGTTGACTTAGGTCAAAAGAAAAGGGAAATGTCCTGGAAATAAAAGTTAAGTATTATAAGATGCCATTAAAGGGAGTTTGTGGAATCTCCTTTTCTGGAGATGTTTAAAAACAAGATAGATCATCATCTCTTAGAAGTGTTGAAGTTCAGTCCTACCCAGAGGCAGGAAGATTAACTGGATTACGCCTGTGTGGTCGGTCTCTAGAGTCATTGGAAGAGCCCTTGAATGCAGTAAATATTCCACATTCTCTTGGCTGAAACTATTGTTTCATAACTGTTCATTTGAAACTTGGTTATTATAAAACCAGAGTGAATGTTTGTTTAAGTAACAAAATTGAATTTGGATCTCGGGTTGATGATGTAAGTTGAGTACATCATATATACCTAAATCAGTTTTAAAAACATTAAAATAAAGTATATATAGTGCTGAAACTATTCAGAACATAACTTAGTCTTTTTTTTTTTTTTTTTTTGGCAAGAGAGAGAGAACATTGCGTATAACTTACTAGTCTTTTATAATGTAAAAAAATGCCTGTTTCCCTGCGAGATCTTAATGCCATTAAGTACATCAATAAGTAATTATAAAGTGACTACTATAAACATTGCAGGCTTCAAAGATGAATTCGATATGGATCCTGCTTTCAGGGAACTTAGTCTACAAGTGGAGATGAAACATATATACAGGCCGGGCACAGTGGCTCATGCCTGTAATCCCAGCACTTTGGGAAGCCAAGGTGGGAGGATTGCTTGAACCCAAGAGTTTGATACCAGTCTGGGCAACATGGCGAAGTCCCATCTCTACAAAAAACACAAAAATTAGTTGGGCATGGTGGCATGTGCCTGTAGTCCCAGCTACTCAGGAGGCTGAGGAGGTAGGATCAATTGAGCTGATTGAGGCTGCAGTGAGCCATGATAGTGCCAGTGCACTCCAGTCTGGGCAACAGAGGGAGACCCTGTCTCTGAATGAATGAATGAATGAATGAATGAATGAATGCTGTCTCACACACACAGATCATATACATGATAAATGAAAAATAAAATAATTGAGATAGGAGCCATAAAAAAGGACTAAACAGTGTTGTAAGGTTTCAGAGAAAGAAAAGATGATTCCTTTGGATTTAACCAAGAATGCTTCTGGGAGGAAAAATGTATCGAACTGGGCCTTAAGGGGTATGACGTATTTTGAAGGGTGGAAATGAAGGAGAGAACAAGGACAGAGATGAAATTATACTTAGTAATTCTGAGGTAAGGACAAGTTCCACTGGAGCATGAGGAATTTGGGGTTAATAGGCTGGGAGGGCCTATTGTGGCTAGTCTCAAATGCCAGGCCAAAGAGCATGGGTTCTGTATGCTCAGTGCTTAAGATCTCTTGGAAGTGATTAAGCATTAAAGGATCCTGCCCATGGGAGGTTTGTAATTTGCTGTTTGGACTGCAAGAGATAAAGGGCAATAGCAGTGAGCCCAGGAAGGTAGCTGCTGAGTCACCTGGGCTGCATTTGCTAAGGGATATGCTGAGAAGTAGTAGTTCCAAGGCATGTTAATAAGTGTTAGTCCAAAAAGGGTCTCCTCACCAAAATGAATTGGGGAAATAAAATGTTAAACAATCAAATAGGCTTCTTTCCTGGACTTCATTTCTGAAAAGTCTCTGGAAGACTTTTTAGAGCCTTTAATATTGAGAATTTCATTGAGAATCTCAAATAGGATAAAACGTGCACCACTTCCAACATGATTTGGTCTTTTTTCATGGAGTAGCTCATGAAACTCTGGTTCCTTAGAACACACTTTGGGGAACATTGCTCTACACATTTGATAATAACAGCTGGAACACAAGTGGTGGTAATGGGCATGAAAAACAGCAGTTAGGGCCAGGCATGGTGGCTCACGCCTGTAATCTCAGCACTTTGGGAGGCTGAGGCAGGCAGATCATTTGAGGTCAGGAGTTTGAGTCCACCCTGGCCAACATGGTGAGACCTCGTCTCTACTAAAAATACAAAAATTAGCTGGGCATAGTGGTGCGTGCCTGTAGTCCCAGCTACTTGGGAGGCTGAGGCAGGAGAATTGCTTGAACCCAGGAGGCAGAGGCTGCAGTGAGCTGAGATCATGCCACTGCACTGCAGCCTGGGTGACAGAGTGAGACTCTGTCTCAAAAAAAAAAAAAAAAGGAAAAGAAAAAACAGCAGTTTGATGGGAGTCCTTACAGGGGAAGCACCAAGAAGCACCAGCCATTCCCGGTATATAGTAGGCATTCAGTAGCTATACAGAAAGTTAATTCATGTAAAAGTGAATTAATGATTTCATACCAGTAGATGTTGGTGTGGATGCGGTCAACAGGGAACACTTTTACATTGCTAGTGGAAATGTAAACTAGTACAACCACTATGGAAAACAGTGTGGAGATTCCTTAAAGAACTAAAAGTAGAACTACCATCTGATCCAACAATCCCACTCCTGGGTATCTATCCAGAGGAAAATAAGTCATTATACGAAAAAGATACTTGCACATGCATGTTTATAGTGGCACAGTTCACAATCGCAAAATCGTGGAACCAACCCAAATGTCCATCAGTCAACAAGTGGATAAAGGAACCATGCTGTGTGTGTGTGTGTGTGTGTGCGTGCGTGTGCGTGTGTGTGTGTGTGGTGGAATACTACTTAGCCATAAAAAGGAATGAATTAACGGCATTTGCAGCGACCTGCATGAGATTGGAGACTATTGTTCTAAATGAAGTAATTCAGGAATGGAAAACCAAACGTTGTATGTCCTCACTGATATGTGGGAGCTAAGCTATGAGGACAGAAAGGCATAAGAATGATACAGGGGAGTTTGGGGATTTGAGGGGAAGAGTGGGAGAGGGGCGAGGGATAAAAGACTACAAATATGATGCAGTGTACACTGCTCAGGTGATGGGTGCACCAAAATCTCACAAATCACCACTAAAGAACTAACTCATGTAACCAAATACCACCTGTACCCCAATAACTTATAGAAAAATAAAAAAAGATAAAACATGAAATTAGCCAGGCATGGTGGCGAGCACCTGTAGTCCCAGCTACCCAGGAGGCTGAAGGCAGGAGAATTACTTGAGCCCGGGAGGCAGAGGTTGCGGTGAGCCGAGATCGCACCACTGCACTCCAGCCTGGGCAACAAAGCGAGACTCCAACTCAAAAAAAATTAAAATTTAAAAAATATGAAGAGATACTTTTACATGTAAAAGACATGCCAAATACTAAACATGTAAAATTGCTAAACATGTAAAGTTGCTTCACATCTTTACTTTTCGAGGAATTGTATATTAAAAATACAGTAAGAACCCCCCCCACCACCACCAAAAAACAAAAACAAAAACAAAAACATGCTTTGCTGGAGATTGCCTGCAGAGACAGAAGGGGAAAGGAGTGCAGGATGGGAATATGGAGAGTTTTGAACTTCAGTATGCTACAGATGATATCATGGAAAGCTAGGAGAAGGAACTGCTTTATATGAAAGTTGAGTATTGAGAAGCTGAGGGAGATCGACCTGGAAGGTTCCATGGTTGCTGAAACCATGGACTTGCGAGAGAAGATATTGTTTTTGTTTTTTGTGTTTTCTCATCAGATGTATTGTGGAAAAAAATATCTCGTTAAAATGTCTGGTTATTTGAATTCTAGATAAATAGTAATTTTCATATACAACTTATTCTAATACAGAAAGCTAACCATATATTTAGTCTAAAAGAAATATCATAGGGCCAGGCGCGATGGCTCACACCTATAATCCCAGTACATTTTGGGAGGCAGAAGAGAGAGGATTACTTGAGGCCAGGAGTTCGAGACCAGCCTGAGCAATAGGGCAAGACCTCCTGTCTGCAACAATTTTTTTTTTAATTGCTCGATATGGTGGCATGCACTGGTGGTCCTAGCTACTCAGGAGGCTGAAGCAGGAGGATCCCTTGAGCCCAGGAGTTTGAGGCTTCAGTGAGCTGTGATAGTTCAACTGCACTCCAGCCTGGATGACCCTGTCCCCCAAAAAAGAGGAAAATAAGAAATTTTATGGTTAACAAAAGCACCAAACCTATAGTGATTTTTTTCAGTCAGACAGTAGTGGCCATCCTTCTCATCTTCACCTGTGATTTATTTTAGTCTGATTTACTCATAAGAAGTTAATTAATCTTTAAGTTTAATATTTTGTTCTTTCATTCAGGTATTTGCCTTTGATTATTGCTTTTGGTCCATGGATGAATCTAACACTACAAAATACGCTGGTAAGTTTTCTCCCTCTACACCTGACAGTTGGGCTTCTGGCCTCTTCTTCCATTGAGTTTATTTTCTTTAATTCCTCTGGAGTTTTACTTTCCCTGTGTAATTCACACCTGTTCTTTCCAATTATACCACATGAGTTTTGAAGTCAATAAGATTTGGTTTCAGAATCTGGGTCTGCCACTTACTTGTAAAATCCTTGAACAGATTTTTATTAAGCTTCAAATTGTTCACCTGACCTCCTTGTGGTATTTTATCCTCATTCCATCCAACACAAATGACTGCTGTTTTATAATTTATGACCATAGGCTTTCCTAGGAGTCAGTCACAATTGCTTTAGTTCCAGAGGGAAGCATTTGGTTTGGTGGAGGAAGTTTTTGGTTCTTTTGCTTCTGATTATGCCCCCTTTTTCTTAGATATTTCATCTTTTTAAAAATTTATTTTTCGTCCGGGCATGGTGGCTCACATCTGTAATCCCAGCACTTTGGGAGGCCGAGGTGGGCGGATCACTTGAGGTCAGGAGTTCAAGACCAGCTTGAATAACATAGCAAAACCCCGTCTCTACTAAACATACAAAACTTATTCAGGTGTGGTGGTGGGCGCCTGTAATCCCAGCTACTTGGGAGGCTGAGGCGGGAGAATGCCTTGAGCCCAGGAGGCAGAGGTTGCAGTGAGCCGAGGTCCCACCACAGCCTAGGTGACCGAGTGAGACTCTGTCTCAAAAAAATAAAAAAAAATTATTTTTCTAACTGGCAAATGAAAGTTGCATATATTTATCATGTACAGTGTGATGTTTTGAAATATGTATATATTATGGAATGGCTAAATTGAGCTAATTAACACATGCTTTACCTCATGAACTTATCCTTTTTTGTGGTAAGAACACTTAAAGTCTACTCAGTTAGCAATTTTCAGGAATACAGTACGTTGTTATTAACTATAGTCACCGTGTTGTACAATAGAGCTCGTGAACTATTTCTTCCTACTGAGTGTTTTCTCCTTATTTCTACTTATAAGAGCATCAGCTGAATGACATTCTCAGTTAGTTAAAAACAAAAAAATGAAGGGAGGATATTGGCCTTAAAAGATTTGGAGGTAAAAGCACATGACTAGTTTAAAGAAAATTAATGTTTTGTTTATTGATAGGTTTTTCCTTGCCATATAAAGCAAACTTGAGAAATTGTTTGATAACATAATTTTTTCAAGAGTTAACAATCTTGGACTAGGAGAATTCCTTCAGTTGCTCACACTGGGTAAATTAGCCTTTCCAAATATCATTCCTACAACTTGAGCAATATATTTTATTAAAGTGAGTAAGTAGTTCATAATGTTGGTTGTAATTAATTTGTCTTTTTATCAGTCCTTTGGGACTTTATGTAATAAGTTCTTCAGAGTCTGGAACAGTCTTGACTTGTTAGCACTCTGTATTTTTGTGCCGGGTGTGTACTTTTAGATTTAAATCAACAACAAAAGTAAAACATTTCCTACAGATGCAGAGACAAATGGGGATAAATGCTATGGTTATACAAACCCGTCATTAACCGTGTTCAATTTATGTTACTCAAGATGCAGCCATATATATCTTCCTGAACTGGAGCTCTTCTCATGCACTTCTCAGATACTTTCCAGGACTCCTCATCACATGCTAGAAAAAATCTATACTCTTTGGACTACATTTGAGGTCCTTTATTATATAACCCCATTCTACCTTCTCCACTGTCTCTTCTGGGACTCCTCTCACCACTCATTCAGTGCCTCAGCCCAGTGTCTGTTGTTGGTTCCTCTCATATAACTCAGGAAGCCAGAAAGTCTCACAATAATTTTTTAAGTATTCATGACTCCCCCCCCAACCCACTGTGTGTGTGCAGCCCATGAAGCCCTTGAGAAATCCAAAAATAAGTTAGAAAGCAAAAGAAATGCATACCAAATAACATTTTGAGATAATATTTAAACTCTAAATTTTATAGATTTTAAGTGTTACATAAAATCCAAGGAGAGATAAAATCTGGAAAGGCACCAGATTTTAAAGAGAAAGAGAAAAGGCACCAGATTTTAAAGAGAGAAAATCTGGAAAGGCACCAATTGTCTGGGAAGGCACCAGAGAGCAGATGGAACATAGAGGAGATAAGTATTTGAGACAACACATACATTAAATCGCCTGATTCAGCCATTCCACAAGGGATACATATATCAGAACATCATGTTGTATACCATAAATATATATGATTATTACTTGTCAACATATGAGTTGTTTAGAGTTTAGTCAAAGGGAAGCCTAGAAGGCATCCAGACAAGAGGAAGTGACATGTGTCAAGGAGAGCACATGGATTTTGACGTGAGACCTGTGTTTGAATTTCAGGACCTCTGCCTTGGTTCTCTTGGACAATTTACTTAATTTCTCTGAGCTACAATTTGTTTTCTATGGAAGAAAGTAAAAATGGCAATACCTATGCTATGTGGTTGCTGTAAGGGTTAAATAGGTCACTTTATGTGCTGATTAATGGAAGGTTCCCGTAAATGATATTTTCATTTGACTTTTCCGTAAAGGAAGATACAGAGCCATGGTGGTAATGCTGGTCTGAGCAGAAGGTATATCTTGGCGGGGGGGAACCCAGCTGCAAAGTTAAGATTAAAAAAGAAAGAAAGAAAAATAAGAAGATGCATCTTGTTGGGGATGCGATGGGAGACCTATTTGTACATGTTGAATGAGGCCAGATAATAGGAAATTCTAAGAACTTCAGACTAATATGGTGAAAAATAGGGGCTATTGGAGTGAGGTGGTTAAAATAATGCTTAAGGAAGATTGTTTTTCTCTTTCTTTTCCATATCTTCTGGAATCACATCCTCCATTATTGCCCACAGAGAACACTCTAGCCTTCTGCAATATATCACTCATGTGCCTGGATGTGCAACAAACTTTTTTTTTTTCAAACCAGAAATGACTTCATTACATACAGATGATAAAATTTAGTTGTGAAACTCAAGATTTCTGTAGCTCTTCATTACAGATAGTTCAGATATATTTTAAAAGATCAAAATGATTTTTAAACATACTGATAGCCTAAAATTTAGTAAATTTTAGGTTGCATGATCACATTGAGTACCATGTCCCAGTTAGCCCTGAAATTGGCTTCTGCCAGCTCATAGAGCACTGTCTACTTAAAAAATTTGGGAGGATATTTTCTTATTCTTCAGATATTCCCATTATCATACAAATACTATGATGCTCCTTCTCCTTAGCAAAAGGTAAAATTCATGCTTACTATTCTCTCAAGTTTACATCTATTGTAAATAATCTGCCTAGTAAATACGTTACGTGTAGATTAGTTGATGGTTTCCATACTAATTTTTCTCTTCATTAAAAAATAACAATTCCTTCTTAATTGGGAATAAAAACATTAAGATAGAAGCATTCATTATCTGGTGGAAAACAGGGGAAGTGGAGAAGGGGAAGCACATATTTCCTGAAACCGACCTATTTGTCAGGCTCGATGAATAATGGCATCATTGATACTGATCAGGACTCTCAAAGCCGCTCTCAAAACTGGGGGGTAGCAGGGAGAGAGACAGAGAAAGATAAGTGCATGGATTGAGAAAGCAAAGAGAAGCAAGGGCTCTTAAGTTTTGTGTGGTGTGTCAAAATGTTAAATTCTCAATCATGTCTTGCTATTTATTAAAAGCTATAGGAAGAGCCTCCACGCTCCCACTTTCTGATTTAGAAACACGTAATTCTCTAGTGGGGGTATAATGGCATTGTAGTGGGTTGGTTGGAGCAGTTGAAGAATATGGGCTCTTAAGTCAGACTTGGTTCAAATCCTGGCTCTAACACCTTCTATCTGTGTAAGGCCGGGTGAGTTACTGAATCTCACGATCCTTCTGTTTCCTCATATGGTAAATAAGGATACTAATAGTTCTGATCTCATAGGGTTGATCTGAGGGCTAAATAATGTATTCATTTAAAGTGCTTAATCCAGTAAGTACCTGGCGACTTAGGGAGGAGGAAGCACTGCCTTAATGTTTATCGTTGTCTTTATTATTGTCTCATTGTGACAGGAGTCAGCACTTTGGAAAGAAAATGCAATGTACTGAGATTTATGACAACTGGTTTTGCCACAAACTGCTAGACCTTGGGCAGGATAATTTCTGTGGGTCTCTGTTCTTCATCTGTGAAAGGAGGAGATACAGCCTGGAATGATCTCAGATCCCCTCCAGCTCTCTGATAAAACATGAATCAGCCATTTTATGTTGGCCACACAGCTGTTCCAGTGGACTTTTCAGAGGCAAATTAAAGGCTTATTTGTTAAGCCATTCACATTGCATTGAATCATGCTTTGAGGTATTTTACATTTTATTTATTTGTGTTTTTTTTTTTTTTTTTTTTTTTTTTTTTTTGAGAGGGAGTCTCCCTCTGTCGCCCAGAGTGCAGTGGCACGATCTCGGCTCACTGCAACCTCCGCCTCCTTGGGTTCAAGCGATTCTCCTGCCTCAGCCTCCTGAGTAGCTGGGATTACAGACATATGCCACCACACCTGGCTAATTTTTGTATTTTTTAGTAGAGACAGGGTTTCACCATGTTGGCCAGGCTGGCCTTGAACTCCTGACCTCAAGTGATCAGCATCCCAAAGTGCTGAGATTACAGGCATGAGCGACTGTGCCCAGCCAGGAATTATTTTACATTTGAAATATATTATCTCTTCCTCCTATTAGCTTTTGGCTAGGTAGTTGTAATAATGTTTGTCTGGCAGATAATTCTGAAGCAAAAATTTTTTTTTTGCTTCAAAAAGAATTTTGAAGCAAAAACCCTGTGTAAGGGCTAATGAAAAAAAAAAACAGAAATAACCTGCAGAATTAGATACCTGGAGCATGGCATTTCTACATAAACTCATATGTTCTCCCGAACTTCATATATACATGCAGATGTACACAGATCCACATTTAAGATTATAAGTTAGTATATTATAGTCAATACTGATAAACTTGAAAGCAGTCTTTGTAAATGTTTAAGTCACTGCTGATTGCAATTAAAGCATTCTTGACAATGAATCAATACATTTTTTAACATTTCTAAAATGTGCCATGTTAGTAGATAACAGTGACTTCCAGTAACTTTGGTTTTTATTTTCTTCCCAGCTCTACAGAAATCTTCATATCAAAAATAAAAAAAAAGCAGTCTGGTAGTGGCATATCTGGGGTCAGTGTGGATGTGAACATTCCCTGGCCTGAGAGATTCTAAACTGTTGACTCAGAAATTATATAACAGTTCTTGCCATATGGCATGTTGCTCAAATGTGCTGAAGCCATGTGTCTTCGAGCATTGTTAATGCCCTGCAACTCAGGAGAAAGGTTGTACATCTGCCTCTTATTCTGCTAGCATTGCTTTATACTGTGAGGGGACAGAAGAGCACCTCCAATCTGTGGACTAATGCAGTGGGAAGAGCAGCCATGTTTGATTCTGTTCCCATCATGGGGGATTTTATGTGCTCAGAGCTAGAAATGATTTCTGCTTCATATTGCTTAACTAAATATTAACTTAACTAACCAGAATCGTAATGAGACAAAACATTTGTGCAGCAAAATTTACATTCTAAAAGCCAACAGTAGCCAAAATAGAACCAATTTCTTAGCTGAGTTCTACAATATTAATTTGTTCTAGCATATTGTATTGGTTCATTATTTTACTATTCAGGTGGTCTGTTTGAATGAAGTCTTTTTTCTAGTAGTTAAAAGCACAGGCTCTGGAGTCACACTTCTTGTGCTCAAATTCTGCCTCTGCCACTTCCCAACTGTGTGGCTGTAGGCAATAATAACAGCACCTCCTTATTATAAATCTTGTGGGTTGAAATGAGATTATGTATATGAAGCACTCAGCAAGTGCCTTGCACAGAGGAAACACTCAATAATTGTTAGCTATTGGGTTTAAACCATAAAAGTTTTCCCTATAGTTATGAGCAATGCTAGTAGTTGCTACTTGAACAGTTTGTTAAAGTAGGGATTCATTATAAATGATGCATGCCATTTTAAAAAACATTTATGAAAAAATATGCCAAATCCTCCCAGATTTTTGTTTTTCTTTTATGGTCTTTTATAAATTATCTCACTCATACTCAATTTGTCATTTCTTTTGGTGACTCACCTTTATCAAGTTGTTCCTAAGCATTCTATTTAGAGTTTTCTTAGAATCAGCAGCCCTCTTTTTTGCATTTGTTAATTAAATTATGTAATTACAGAGAAGTACAACTGACATAGAACAGTTTAGGAGCAAATACAACTGACCCTTTGTACAAGCATAACTCAGCTGGTGAGAGTCCAGAGAGTAGCCTCCCAGCTGGGGTGATTTAGCATGCAGGGGGCATTTCATAGATGGAAGAGAGAATGTTGGGTAATCCAGAGAATTGGATAAGAAGGTCAGTTAAGAAAAATTTTTCTTGTAAAGGATGTTAAAAAATAAATGAGCTTTGCTAATCGTGTTAAATTTTTTTAAGTGTATATATATGTGTGTGTGTAAATATATATATATATATATATATATATATATATATATATATATATATATGCGCTGCTTTTTTGTTCTCCCCTTTACTCACCTATTTTTTATCCTATCAAATCCCATTTTCTTCAATACCTCCCTTTCTTTGTCCACATTTGTTCCTTAGGGTGTTTGTTGGACCCAGAAACATCATTTAACTTGTGTTTAGAGGGGTGAATAACAATAGCAATAGATAGTACAACCCTGAGCATTGAATCCCAAGCACTGTGCCGATCCCTCTACATGCACTAGGTGATAAGATTGTCAAAGCACCCAGTCAGGTAGAAACTATTACTGCCCCCATTTTACAGATAAGAAAACTGAGGTTTAGCGAAGCCCTGCTCCCTATGAGAGCACTGAAAGCATTGGTAAATGTGGATGTTAGTTAATGACATGTATGCTGGTGAAAATTTTATGGATTCTACTCCAGCCTATGGTGCTCCTCTCCTCTCTCATCCTGAAGAGTCATTCAATATGACTCCTAAGGAAGTCATATTGAAGTGCTCTGGCTTAGAACCTAGCCAGGAATACTACTAAAGTTACCCTCACTCCTGTCAGAAGTTCTCTAGGATCCTTATATTTGGTTTGGGCTTTGTTTTAACCTCGCCTCAAATACTATAAATATTGTGCAGCCCACAATCCAGAAGAGATGTTGAGTTGGGTCTGCTTCTTTGTCAGAGAGAGGGGGTGTAAAACACCATCAAATAAGATAGAAATGAAGGTTTACTTTGTCAGCAGTTATTTTATGGGAAACACCCTCCTGTATGACTCCAACACACATTCTCTGTAAGACATTCTTCACAGGTGAGTGGCTTTATATTCTTTCTTCATTCTCGAGACCAGTGCCCAGGGCAGTGGTTGCATGACCTCCTCCTTGGTGAATCAGCCACTGTGTCCAGCAACAAAAAAAGACCATGCTCATGGCCAGCCCCAGTGCTGTTGCTGTGGTGGAAACATCCATCTGGATGAGTCAGCCGTGCCATGCTGCAAGCCAGACTTCCAGACTAACACTGATAGCTTTTGAATGCTACAGTGGAAAATGTGTCCGTGGTCTATTACCCTCATGGCCTGGTTTCTTGGGATCTTCTTACCAGGCACCTCAATGGTAGACTTTTCTGTAGTTGATTAAAACTTAAATCTAGCAATACCAAGTCAAGCCTTACAGCTTCAGTTTCTTTATCTGAACTCTGTAGTTTTTGGTCATTTAACTTAAACCAGGTTTGAAATCACTACATATGAGAATTTTTGAAAGCTGCACTTCCATACACCAAAGATTTTTGAGAAAGGAATTTATTTAAACCTCATCCAAGCTGGGCATTCTTCACCCCTTCAGGTATGTGAGAAGAACCTGTCTGGTCTTGCGCTGTCCAGGTGCTCTGATTTGGAGCTGGGCCACCTGCCAAGTCCAGACTCATCAAAATCGCTGTGCCTGTCAGCCCTGTTTAGAAGTGAAAAAACACCCTCACAAATGAGTAGGCCCAGGAATTCCAAGTCATAAATAGTGAGCCCAGCCTTTATTTTTTTTTTTTCCTCTCTCTCTCTACTCTGATTCCAAAGAGAAGAGATAGGGAAAGGAAGGAAAACTGGGGGCTCAGTTTAAACTGATGAAATTATTGATCGTGTTCAAATATTGGATGCTTTTCTATGTAGTTACTTTAGAAAAACAAGAAATACTCTGTGCATATGCCAGGTCTGATCTGTGCATCACCATGCTTAGTGTTTTATTCAGCCATGGGCCATAGGTGTCTGCCTTGTTTAATGCAGATTTTAAACAAGATAGGGCGTATATCCTCCCATTTCATTCTCTCACTTTCTAGAACACAGCCCACTGTGACTCTTTTATCCTGTGCCTCTTCAGTCATCAGATGTTGGGTGTAGGAATGATAGCTGCATTTTTCCTTCCATCCCTGGTTTCTTTCTTGCTATAGAAAGAGATTTGCCTTGGTTACCCATCTCCCAGTACACACACATGGTGGCTTTGAGCCTATTGCTGCTGTTCTAAGTAGGGACAGATTATGCACAAGTGTGGACACCCAAGGGTGTTAGCTTTTCAAAGATCTCTGTCAGGCTGGGTACAATGACTATAATTCCAGCACTTTGTGAGGCCAAGGTGGGAGGCTCACTTGAGGCTAGGAGCTCAAGATCAGCTCAGACAACATAGCAAGATCTTATCTCTACTAAAAAATAAAAATAAAAAATTAGCCATAAGTGGTGGCACACACCTGTAGTCCTAGCTACTCAGGAGGCTGAAACAGGAGGATTCCTTGAACCTCGAGGAGTTAGAGGCTGTAGTGAGCTATAATCACACCACTGCACTCTAGCCTGGTGGAAGAGCAAGACCCTATCTCTTTCAAAAAAGAAAAAGATTCATATCGTATGTGACTCAGGGTTGGGTGACTCAGGTCTGTGACTTTGCTTGTAGAAATTCCATACAGGAGCTCTCTCTGTTGTTCTGACATTGTGTTATGGGTTACTTTGGGCATGCCTGTGTTTTAAGACTTGTTCACATGATTATAGAAGGTCTAATCATAAACCCCAGAGGAAATTGGCATTGTGGTCATGGTTATTAACAAGTGAGGTCAGGCTTGCCCTGTGAATTTGCTGCACCAGGCATGTGGAGCTAACATCTGCAGAGTGGCCACCGCCTTTTTGGCATCGGTTCTGCTGAAAAGTCACAGGCCTCTTGGATTTGACAATGTTATGGCTCTGCTCGGATTGTCTGGGATAGAAACAAATACTCATAGATCCTCCTGCTTCCCACGGGACTTAACGAACCTTCGTTTATGGGCTGGTATGCTTTCCCCTAGACAAATAGCACCTCATTCTATTTGAGTGTAAACTAGTCGGAAAACGTTTAGGGTGGAGATATTGCGTCTTTTATGGGATCCACCCATGCACTGTTTGAATTCCCTGATTCCCACCACTCAGCGTAAACAGCTCCTTTTTTCATGAACTGAGGTTCAAAAAGCAGTTGGCAAGTCGTCTTTTCCTATGCTGAGAAAAGGGACTGTTGTGTTTAAAAAATAGAAGTGAACAAAGCAAAAACAAAACAAAACAAAAAAAACAAAAATCCTTCGGTCTTTTGGATAAACTAGGGTCTCTTCAAGAGACCATATGAGGGTTCTTGATATTTCATATTTTCTATTGCAGAATGAAGTGTAGCCATCATCTGTGTTTCACTGACAGCTGATTGCAAGAGAGGACAGAGACTGTATCAACAGTCATAGTGCCTTTTTAGGCTTTGGTTGACAATTTGGCCTTTTTTATCGTTCTTTTTCCTATACCAGTGGTGCCCTGAAGGTCACCAAACCGAAGAATTGGTTAAGTATAACTCCGGCCACGAGTTCACACAGCTGAAAAGGCACCAGAAGGGCAGAATAAGGGGAACTCTAGAACCTGTCCCACTCACAGTTTTGCTGATATAGTTTTTTATATTGGGTTTTTTTTTTCCCTGTACCCTTCTCAGTGTTAAAAAAAAAAAAAGAAAGTATTTTTCTTATAATAGACAATATGGATTAGCATACCCTGGCCCCAGTAATGATACTGTTCCTTCATCTCATCATGTCCATGCACACACAAACACACACCCCACCCTTTCTGTCCTCCACCCCCTTAAATGTGAGAGTCACCACCATCATATTTGGTCGGTAATATTTTTTAAATGGGACCTCTGTGGGAGCTAGAAAAATAGCGATAATTGGTTCCTTTCAGAAATCTTTCTAAGAACAAGTATCTTTTCTTTTTAATGTTTTGTTTTAAGAGATGGGGTCTTGCTCTGTCGTTCAGGCTGGAGTGCAGTGGCACGATCGTGGCTCACTCTAGCCTCAACCTCCTAGGCTCAAACAATCCTCCACCACCATGCCTGGCTAATTTTGTTTTTTTGTTTGTTTGTTTGTTTGTTTGTTTTTGAGACGCAGTCTCGCTCTGTCGCCTGAGCTGGAGTGCAGTGGCGCGATTTCGGCTCACTGCGACATCCACCTCCCGGGTTCACGCCATTCTCCTGCCTCAGCCTCCCGAGTAGCTGGGACTACAGGCACCCGCCACCATGCCCAGCTAATTTTTTATATTTTTAGTAGAGATGGGATTTCACCATGTTAGCCAGGTTGGTCTCAATCTCCTGACCTCGTGATTCACCCACCTTGGCCTCCCAAAGTGCTGGGATTACAGGTATGAACCACCATGCCCGGCTCATACCTGGCTAATTTTTTATTTTTTGTAGAGATAGGGGTCTCACTATTTTGCCTGGGCTGGTCTTGAGCTCCTGCCCTCAAGAGATCCTCCCACCTCAGCCTCCCAAACTGTTGGGATTGCAGGCATGAGCCACCACACCTGACCTTTTTCCTTTTATCTTTGAAATTGGATTATGCCACAAAATTGTTGCAAAAATGAAGGAGCCATCTGAAGGAAAAATAACTAGATAATTTTTCTTTGCAGTAAAATGAATTATAGTTGATTAAAGACTTAAGAGATGATAATAATAGATAATAACTAAAATATATTCTAGATTTATACTGGCCACGCACTATGGTAAGTACTTTACCTATATTGGTTTATTAAACCATCCCAGTAGCCCACTTAGGTAGCAACTATTAGTCTTATTTTACCGATAAACTGGGAACCTTCCCAGTGTCACATAGCTGGTAAGAAGTAAAACTCAGGTTTGAAAGTCAAATTGTAAAAACAGTGGTGGTGCACATCTATAATCCCAGTTGTTTGGGAGGCTGATGCAGGAGGATTACCTGAGCCCAGTCATTTGAAGCTGCCATAAGCTGTGATCCCGCCACCACACTCCAGCCTGGACACAAAGCGAGATCCTGTCTCCAAAATAACTAAAATAAATAATAACAAAAATAAAACTAGAAGAAAATATGGGTGAGTTCTATATAATTTGGGGGTGAAAAAGGATTTGTGAGGCATAGCACATATCATAGGCAGAAATCATGAAGGAAAAGAGAAAAGATTTGAATATGAAAGACCAGGAGCTTTCGTATGACCAAGAATAAGGTAAGACCGATAGGCAGATGACAGACTGGGAAAAAATATTTATAACATATAAGATAGACCAGTGGTTAATATCCTCAATATGTAATGAGGATTTTAAAATTAATGAGAAGAAAAGCAATGGCTAGCGCAAGGACTTAAATAGTCAACTTACTAAAGTGTTAATACAAATGAACAATAAATAGAAGAAAAATTATCCAAACAAGAGGCTTTTCTTTCCTACTGACTCAGTCAGAACTAAGAAGAATGATCACAGGGATTGTTGTTGAGAGTGTTGTAAGTAGAGACCAATGCATTTTTAGAGAACTTGGAGATTTGATTTTTTGAAGTTTTGCCTAGTAAAGTCAATAGGAAACTGCACAGAGGTAAACATGTAAGAATAAACATTGCAGAAAAATAAAAGGAAATAATCTAAATATCCATAGTAGGGAACTGATTGCATCCATTATTCATACAATGGAAAGCTGAGCTCCTGTTAAAAATGCTAATGTTGATGTATATTTGTAGAGATGGGAAAATGTTCATTATTTCTTGTCTTAAAACAGAATGCATTGTCTTTGAGACACAAAGCCATAGTAATAAAATGTATTCCAGTCTCTCTAGACTCCAATCTTGTGTAAATTTGTAAAAATACATGGAGAATGAAAAATTTTTTCAGAAACGTAGTATAATCATTTTCAATTTTTTATGTTGTTTTTCTCAGATTTTTTCTTTTCCAATTATGAATAAAACTTTACTAAATATGATAAATTTGAATTCTATTTTATCTGCCAAAAATAACTGTAACTAAAAGAAGTTGACTATATTTGAAATCACATGTATATATTTAGTGGAAATCAGAGAGACTAGTTTTTATTTTTTTGTCACATATATTTTGTTGTAATGTCCAGGAGGATACGGTGGGTATTAGTAAAAAAGTGATTTGTAATTTTTATCAAAATTACCTAATTAGTACCTACATAGTGTGTTGACGCATTTATTCATACCCCATTGGCTTATTTAACAAAGGCCTACTGTAGTCTTATGGGATTCATTAGAATTTCAAAAACAGTCATACTTTGACCAAAGTGTAAACTAATACAATTAAACATTTATTTTTAAGTTCAAAGAATAATTTTTTTTTTTTTTTGAGACAGAGTCTCACTCTGTCACCCAGGCTGGAGTACAACAGTCTTCTGATAACTTATTGTCACTGATGAGGGAAGAGGCTCCCAATTAAAAATACATTTTTCTGAAAACAGCAGTATCAACACAGGAATAATTCAGTGAATACAGATGCCTATTGTGTGCCAGGCATTCTACTAAGATGCAGCAATTACTGTTTTCACAATCTGGCAGTAAAGGTGAACATGAAAAAAAAATTGTGCCAGCCAGGCACAGTGGCTCACACGTAATCCCAGCACTTTGGGAGGCCAAGGCAGGCAGATCACCTAGGGTCAGGAGTTCGAGACCAGCCTGGCCAACATGGTGAAACCCTGTCTCTACTAAAAATACAAAAAGTAGCTGGACTTGGTGGTGGGCCCCTATAATCCCAGCTACTTAGGAGGCTGAGGCAGGAGAATCGCTTGAACCCAGATGGCAGAGGTTGCAGTGAGCTGAGATTGTACCACTGCACTCCAGCCTGGGCGACAGAACAAGACTCCATCTCAGAAGGAAAGAAAAAAAAATTGTGCAGTGTAATGAGTTCTGACAGTCTGTAAAAATTATCCTGGAGACCAGAGGTGAGAGCAACTGATTGCCAGTGTCATGCAGCATGAATTACTGATGATGAATGGAATCAGCCTTGACAGTAGGGAGTCACTATAAGCTGACCCAAACCCTGCCATTCACTGATAATGAGATCTTGGGCAAGTGACTTAACCATTTCAAGCCCCAGTCAGCTTATCAGTCATAATTCATACCTACTCTACCTGGGTATTGTGAGGATTCAATAATATAGAACATGTAATCCCAGCACTTTGGGAGGCCAAGGCGGGTGGATCACGAGGTCAGGAGTTCGAGACCAGCCTGGCCAATATGGTGAAACCTCGTCTCTACTAAAGATAGAAAAAATTGGCCGGGCTTGGTGTTGCATACCTGTAATCCCAGCTACTCAGGAGGCGGAGGCAGGAGAATCACTTGAACACGAGAGGTGGAGGTTGCAGTGAGCCGAGATCGCACCATTGCACTCCACCCTGGGTGACAGGGCAAGACTCGTCTCAAAAAAAAAAAAAAAATATATATATATATATATAAAATACATTGCCAGCAGGACAGTTGATAAAAATTATCTTTGCTTTTCCTTAGTAGCATAAATAATAAAAGAATACAAGTTTAATAGGTTAAATCATGTCCTGTTTAGTATTTGCAACAATTTGGTCATACACTAAACTAAAATTTACTCTTGTTTTTTTGGTTTTTTTTTTTACATTTTTTGTAGAAACAGAGTCTCACTTTGTTGGCCAGGCTGGTCTTGAACTCCTCTCCTCAAGCCACCCTCCCACCTCGGCCTCCCAGAGTGCTGAGATTACAGGTGTGAGCCACCATGCTTGGCCTACTCTTGTATTTTTATATGCTGGGGAGTTCTTTGATCATTTCATTTATTTTTCTTGCAATTTTAGTATACACATCCTGGTGGTTTGTTTCATTTACATCATAAACCTACTTCATACAACTATATAGCAGTCATCCTTGTTTTTCCAACTAACAATCTTTAGTTTAAAAGGCCATTCCTACCAAGGAAAAAGACACATTGTGATTTACTCTTGAAAGAACCTAGGAAAATAATTCCTCCTAATTCCAGCGTATTCAGCATCAGGAGCAGAAACCAGAAGTACCACATTTTACTACCTGATACAGGAATAGATATACTAGGTATTAACTTTAGGCTCTCAGAAGCCATAATAAAATCTCTTTGACCACAGTACTTCTCTGCAATTGAGTCCTTTCATCAACTCAAGCTGTTGGGCTTTTTTTCAAGTTACTAAATATGAATTGAAATCATGAATTATGGTCAGGATGCTTGACTTAGCCAACTCTTGAAGTCTCTTGTCCCCACCCTCACCCCACTCCCTTCCTGGGGGCTGGTTAACCAGTGTGGAAGATCAAACAGGATTGCTCCAATCAGCTGCTTGTGCCAAGAATGTATTGCTTTTAGAATGCCTTCAAATGGCACTTAGGTCTGGCTGAGGACCACAAGCAATCCTAATAAGCCTGGGCACAGGCTGGATTTAATTCTGGGTCTTCTCTGATATAGGCCTTGGCTCCAGATTTAAGGCCTACCTTTTAGCAAGGGGCTTGGGAACATACGTGGAATAAGGAAGGTCCTTTGAGAAAACATATGAGAAATAAATATTAATGTGTATGAAAGATCATGCACCAGAGTGGTCAGGTATTTTCTTCGTGAGCACAAGACTATCATACTTGACTATAACATAAAAGCAATTTGTGAAGCAGATAATAATTTTGATTATACCTTATTCTTCTCTGAATATACACGTATTTGCATACAGATCTTAAGGTACTCTTCACAACAGACCTGGGTGTTTAGAAAAGTTTCTTCTGATTACACCCATTTTAAAAAATCCACATATTCCACCAACTTGTTTGGTGGAAGTTACCAAACATCTATGCTAGATGGTAGAAGTTAGCAATAGAGAAATAAAGTTACATAAATTTGGTATATTTTTTCCAATCCATTTTTTACACTTTAGCATTTGTAGATCTCTCTCTCTCACACACACACACACACATGCGTGCATGCACACACACACACACACACACACACACACACATAACTATTTGACATAAGGTTTTACATTATATGCACAGTTCTGAACATGGCTTTTTTTTCACTTAATGTTTTTTAATTTGAGCATTATTTACACATAGATGTGGGTGTTGGGGGTTTATTGTTTTTAAAAATGTTATGTAGTATATTCCATCATATAAAACAGTCACACTTTACTTACTTTCATACTTACGGGCATTTAACTTGATTCCCATTTGCAGTATTATGAATAACACTGCCATGAACATCCTTCACAGGGTCCTTTTTGGGAATGTGTTTCTAGAGTAGATGCTTCACAGTGGGTCAGGCAGTGTAGGCATATTCCCTTTTATAGATGCTGTCAAGTTTTCCTTCAGAATGTCTGTATGCGTTTATTCTCCCACCATATGCAGCTTATGAAAATACCTATTTCCTCAATGCAGCAATATTTGATGTTGTCAGAATTTTATTTTTTGCCAGCCTAATGGTTGCAAATTGTATGGTCTGTTTTTACACTGTTGTAAAGAACTACATGAGGCAGGCTAATTTGTAAAGAAAGGAGGTTTAATTGACTCACAGTTCCGCATGACTGGGGAGGCCTCGGGAAACTTAGAATCATGGTGGAAGGTGAAGGGGAAGGAAGGCACGTCTTACATGGCAGCGAGAGAGAGAGAAAAGAACTCAAAGGAAGCCACACACTTTTAAACCATCAGATCTTGTAAGAACTCACTATCATGAGAACAGCATAGGGGAAACTGCCCCCATGATCCAATCGTCTCCCAACAGGTCCCTCCCTTGACACGTGGGGATTACAATTCAAGATGAGATTTGGGTGGGGACACAGAACTAAACCATATCACAAATACTATCTCGTTTTGTGTTGAAACACTTTTAAGAGTCTCATCCTGCAGTCATCATATATCATAGTATAATAAGAGACTCCTAAAATCAGATCTAAATTTCCATAAAAGAAAAACATAAAACCAAAAGCTCATGTTGTGTTACATTATTTTCAAATGTAAAAGGAACTATCATGTAAGATAAAAATGTTAAATTGACTCATTCTTTCAACATTTATTAAGCATTTTGTACTAGGCTCTAGGATTATGAAGATAAGCAGGTTATAGTTTTGGGCATCAGGGAGCTCTCATGCCAGTGGAGGAAACAGGTACTTAAACTAGTAGTTTCTGCAAATGCTGTAATAGTGAATGTTCTAAGGACTATAAGAAGACAGGAAGGAGAACATAAGTCTAATTGTCTTAGTGATACAGAATGAATATTAGAAAATCACCAAATTCAAAGGGTAGCAAATGCTGTCCTTTTATGTGTTTAAAACAGATTGTCACTCCTTTACTCTTCAGCCCCGCTCTGCCATAGTATAGTACATGACACAATGCCCCCAAGAGCTGCAGTGTGATACAGAGATTCACAAAAGAGAACTTGTCCCCCACTCCCGCTGTGGGGACACAGGTGACGGGTGCCTGTGAATCTACAAACAGCAGCTGAAGTTGTCAATCCATCCTCAGCAACTAACGGTTTTTAGCACTTGGCATGTACAAAACACCAAGCTAGGTGCTGAGGGAGATACCAAGGTGTGTATAACATGGTCTTGTTCAGTGGCAGTTCAGAATCTAGCTGGGGAGATAAGGCAATTCATGTTTAATGACATTGTAGATATTAGTCATAAGAAAAAACAACCAAATTTGAATGCTGCTTCCATATGGCCCACTCACAATGGAAAGAAAACTTTAATATCTAGAGAAGTGTCTTAGAGGGAAACAGTGTATCCAGGTACTGAGCTGTAGTTTAGAAGTGTGGATGAAATTGCATATATCAAGCTCTTAATACACAGCCCTGTACTTAGTGGGCACTCGGTACTACACTTTTAACATTTTTTTGAATTGACATAATATTGTTACTAACACAAATATGTCAAGAAAAATTATTCTTTTTATTAGTTTTTAATATTTGTCTTGTTTTTTAGGTCAAGAAGTGGTTTTCAAGTGCCTTGGGGAAGGAATTCTTGAAAAAGCCTTTCAGGGGTATAATGCGTGTATTTTTGCATATGGACAGACAGGTAAGAAGTTGCTTTTATAGACCAGATGTGGGGGATCATGCCTATAATCCCAGGACTTGGTGAGGCTGGGGTGGGAGGATCTCCTGAGCCCAGGAGTTTGAGACCAGCCTGGGCAACATAGTAAGACCCGTCTTTATAAAAACTAAAAACATTAGCCCAGCGTGGTGGCACACCTGTAGTCCCAGCTTCTTGGGAGACTGAGGTGGGAGGATGGCTTGAGCCCAGGAGTTTGAGACTGTAGTGAGCCATGATCACACCACTGCACTCCAGCCTGAGCAACAGGGTTTGAGGCTAAGTTGGCCACTCTTCTGCTATGTTACCATGGCCAGTATATGGGGAAACCTTGTATGGTTGAAGCATTGCATTTTGCTCCCTCCTCTACCTGTTCTTCTTTTTCCTTGCTGTTCTCCAGGTTCGGGAAAATCCTTTTCCATGATGGGCCATGCTGAGCAGCTGGGCCTTATTCCAAGGCTCTGCTGTGCTTTATTTAAAAGGATCTCTTTGGAGCAAAATGAGTCACAGACCTTTAAAGTTGAAGTGTCCTATATGGAAATTTATAATGAGAAAGTTCGGGATCTTTTAGACCCCAAAGGGTAAGTTAGTGGTCAAGATTAAGTGTGTTAATAGGGGGAGATAATTTTAAATGATTCTAAAGTTAAAATTGGAAGTGAATATACGTATTTAAGCTCTTGGTGACTACACTGGTTTTCATTCATTTACAGAAAAATCATCAGCTTCTCAAAGCCTTTTGGTATACCCAGTGTTTATCCTACATTAATGTATAAAGTTGCCTATGTATGCCCTTTGAAAAGATGTTTTTACTATTGGTATTTTTTTTTGCCACCATGAACTATTCACAAAAATTGAGTTAGGAATAACACATTAGTTCTTCCATTTACATTGGAAAGTGGCACTAATGTGTTAAGGGTAAAAGGGTTGAAGGATTGAAACATCCCAGCCAAGGCAAGCAATGCCCTTCCCTGGCTGTGCATTGGAATCATGTGGGGAACGTTTTAAGCATCCACTTGCCTGATGTCCACCCATAGAGACTGTATTCAGTAGACCCAGGGTGAAACCCAGGGATCTATATTTTTTTTAACTAGGTGATTTAAAAATATATTTATCTGATTCATAGAGGAAGGGGGGCCATTTACTTTTTCTCAATTAAAAAATTTGGGGCCGGGTACAGTGACTCATACCTGTAATCCCAGCACTTTGGGAGGCCAAGGTGAGCAGATCATCTGAGGTCAGGAGTTCGAGACCAGCCTGACCAACATGACAAAACCCCATCTCTACTAAAAATACAAAAATTACCCAGGTGTGGCGATGGGCATCTGTAATCCCAGCTTCTTGAGAGGCTGCAGGAGAATCACTTGAACCCAGGAGGCAGAGGTTGCAGTGAGTTGAGATCACGCCACTGCACTCCAGCCTGGGGAACAGAGGGAGACTCCAGCTCAAAAAAAAAAAAAAAAAAAAAAAAAAATTATACTGATTTAAAACTAGTATCTATTTATGGAAAATTTGAAAAATAGGTAAGGTGTAAGAAGAAATAAAAATGACCTATAATCTCACCATTCAAAAATAATCACTAAGGCCAGGTGTAGTGGCTCATGCCTGTAATTCCAACATTTTGGGAGGCCAAGGTGGGTGGATCACTTGAGGTCAGGAGTTCGAGACCAGCCTGGTCAACATGGTGAAACACCGTCTCTACTAAAATAGAAAAATTAGCTGGGCGTGGTGCTGGGCACCTGTAATCCCAGCTACTCAGGTGGCTGAGGCAGGAGAATTGCTTGAACCCAGGAGACAGAGGTTGCAGTGAGCCAAGATCATGCCACCACATTCCAGCCTGGGCAGTAGAGTGAGACTGCATCTCAATAATAATAACCACTGTTACACTTTGGTGCATTTTGACCAAAATTATGAGTGACAAGGAAGTGACCCAATCAAAGAAAATGTTTATATTTACTCTTAAGAAGCTGTTAACTATTTAATGCATACAAAATAACATTTATAACACCTGTAAGGCATAAAGAGTAATAAAAACAACTGCCTACCTACATTGGCTTAATAAATGGAACATGACTTAGTCAAAAGTACTCTAGCTAAAATTAAATAAATAAATAAATAAATAAATGGAACATGACCAATAATTGTGAAGCTCACTATACGTTCCCCTTGGATCCATTTTCTACCCCTCCCCAAGGTAACTACTATTGTGAATTTTGTGTTTAGCATTCTCTTCCTCTTCTTTAGCATTTACAAATAATTTTGCATAATTTTTAACTTTGTATGACATCATAATATATGTGTTCTTTGGTGATTTGTTCCCCCCACCGTGATTCATTTATTCTTATATATGAAGTGCTAATACATTTTTACTGTTGTCTTAGCATTTCATTGCATGGTTACATCAATAATTCATCACTTTCTCTGTCTTTTGTGTGGTTCCTGCTTTTATCAATAGAGTGCTGCTCTGAAAGCATTGTTATACAGGTTTCCTGCTGTATAGGTAGGTGCAGGAGTTTCTAGGTAACACATCTAGGGGTGGAATTGTAAGTCACAAAATACTGAATCTCCAATTTTATTTAATTGCGCAAACTGTTATCCAAAGTGGTTGTACCAATTTCCACCCCCACCAGCAGTGTACAAGAATTTCAGATACTGGACACCATCACAGGCACTTGGTATAATGCTAGGTTTGCTTTTTCTTGCTGCTGAATAGCATTATAGAATCTCTGGCAAGCAGAGTAAGCTGTGTACTGGATCGTGTGCATCTAAGTAGCTCACTGTCACATTGAATTCTTCGTCTTTAAAATAAAGGTGGTAAAGCCTACTTTGTAGGGATGTTATGAAATGAAACGGCATAACTGAAAAGTGCTTCAGGGAACAATGCCAGGACTTTGGGATGCATTCAGTGATGCTTCTTAGCTCCTTTTTCCCATATATTGGTGATGCTAAGCAATGACTCTTAATTTGAAAGATGATTAATATGTGATGCCCTGAAAAAGATGGTGTGCACAATATGGTCAGTATATACATAGCTTTGCTTTTAATCTCCATTGTCTTTTGATAAACTGTTGAAATGGGTTCCAAACCAGGTTTATCATTTAAAAATTCAAAAGAGCTTTAAAATTTTCATTAGCAGAACCAATTCTAAATATAGTACAAACGTCAGTAATTATAAACAAACTCTGTACTATAATCTCACTTTCTGTATAAAATAGTGTAAGCATAGAAGTAGCATAAACCAATGCAGACTTGAAGTAGAGTTTAAATGTTTTAATACTGTCTACTAGTAATTCAAAAATTTTGACTGGGCGGTGGTGGCTCACATCTGCAATCCCAGCATTTTGGGAGGCTGAGGCTGGAGGATTGCTTGAGCCTAGAAATTCAGGACCAGCTTGGGCAGAATAGTGAAGCCACATCTCTACAAAAAATATAAAAACTAGCCAGGCATAGTGGCATGGGCCTGTAGTCCCAGCTGCGTGGGTGACTGAGGTAGGAGAATCACCTGGGCGGGAGGTTGAGGCTATAGTAAGCCGGGGTCATGCTACTGCACTCTAGCCTGGGCGACAGAGTGAGACCCTGTCTCAAAAAATAAATACCATTTTAAGACATTATCTGCTGAGAATATGCTTATTTATGAAATAGCCGAAAGGTTGATTTGATCTGGCATGTTTTTTGGTTCCCTTTTTCCCCCAATCCTCCCCAAAGTATAACTGACAGCCTAACCCAGGAAGGTTTGTGACTAGAGATAGAATGTTTAAAATAGTAACATACTTTAAATAGAAATCAGAGCATAAAACACATTTCTCATGTTAAACATTGTTTTGCTAATCCAAATAAAGTAGCTTTTAGATTTGTTGGGGGGAGGAGTCATTTAAAAATTCTTTTGAAATTGTTATCTTAGTTACTGTGTACTTAAAGAGAAAGAAAAGCTTCCAGCTTTGGTGTGATTCATTTATTCCTTTTTCCTCCCTCCCGCAGGAGTAGACAGTCTCTTAAAGTTCGAGAACATAAAGTTTTGGGACCATATGTAGATGGTTTATCTCAACTAGCTGTCACTAGTTTTGAGGTAAGTCATTTTTTTTAAAATGTGATTAAAAGCTGACTATAAATCAAAGTATGTAAGTGATACTGAGTATATTTTATGTGGATGCTTTATAGCAGAATGATACTACTCAGGGCCTCAGAAACCCAGTATCAGCACACCGCAAACAGAGAGGAAAAGGGCTTTTAATCACACTCTTCAAGCTGCTTTGTTGTGAAGGTTTTACAGTATGGCCGGGAGGCCCAGTGTTTTCAGGTTGCTGCATATTTTCACTAATACTACTCTGTTAAAACTGTTCTCCCAATGATGCCAGTGACATCCTTCTAGACATGTGGTATTCTAAACAGTATTTGGCAGTTAGTACAGCCCTTTCTTTTTGGCAGGGTCTCCTGCCTTGGTTTCTGTCACTTCTGGCTCTCCTGTTTTTCTGAATCACTCCTCTTGCCATTGACCGGCCTGTTTTACTTTATTTACTCTTTGACTTATATGCCTTGTTAAGATCTGACTCAAGATTCTGCTTCTATTTCTATAGTGATTGCTTTGGAAATCTCATAACACAAACTGCTATCTCTGTTGCTAAAGGATGTGAATGAATGAGTGAATGCACAGAGAAACAAGCAAATCCCTGCACTTACTTTGTGCTGTTTGTGGGATGTGGCTGGCCCATTATCACCCCAGACTTAGTATGGCTAAAACTAATCTGTGCAGTGATTCTCTCCAGCCATTTAAATCAAGGTATATATAGAATTGCTCTAATCGGAAATAGAGCACAGTGATCATTTTAAAAAGGTTTCGATTCTGAAATGAATGGATACTTTTTTGGTCTAAAGGTGCTAACTCAGCTCCTTCACTGAGGTCCCTGGTTCTTAGCTCAGTGTGGTTGAGGTAAGTGTTGATGTTATCCTGTCACTTACTAGTAGGAGCCAGGGTGCTCTATTTGCATCCCAGCTCTACCTCTTACTGGATTTGGGGAAAGTTGCTTGACCTCCACGAACTTCAGCATCCTTGTATGTAAAAGCAAGAAAATAAAGTTCATTTAGCAAATATTTCATAAGATCCCATAGGCTCTAGGCATTCTAGGAGCAAGTGTACAAAGTGGAATAAGGAAAAAACCCTGCCATCAGGGAGCCACAGTATTGGAGGAGGGAGGCAGACAGGCAGGCATCAGCGGGTTGGTAAGCACAGGAGAGTAAGAGTTAAATCAAGTCACTGCTATTATTGATTATCGGAGTGCTCAATAAATATTAGCTATCCCAGGAACCCAAAAAGGAGAAAATAGGGACTCAACTGAGAAAGAAGACAATTGGGAAATGGAAAGAATTAGGGAAACATTTCATACATTACAAAGTCTTGAGTGAGGTGGAAGCTCAAACCATGCTCAATGGAGGAGCGGCAGGGAGGTTTCTATGGAAGGGTGGTGACAAAGGCATCAGAGGAATCATAATTAATACATATACCTGGTGTGCAGGACTACATTCTTGTGTTTTTGCTTATGGTCTTTTCCTTATGCTTTGCCCCTAGGATATTGAGTCATTGATGTCTGAGGGAAATAAGTCTCGAACGGTAGCTGCTACCAACATGAACGAAGAAAGCAGCCGCTCCCATGCTGTGTTCAACATCATAATCACACAGACACTTTATGACCTGCAGTCTGGGGTAAGGGATTAGGCAGAACCTTTTTGGAGTGGGGGTGGAAGAACTGAAAGTGTCCATATAGGTAAAGTCTTTCATGGTTGGGTTCAGTGGCTGAGAATTGTATGTTGGCTCTTCTGCTTACTAGGTGAGCTACTTTGCTTATCATTTAATTTGTTAGGTCTTTCTTTATATTTGACTTTTTAAAAAATTGGATTTTGGCCTGGTGCAGTGGCTCCTGCCTGTAATTCCAGCATTTTGGGAGTCTGAGGCGGGAGGATTGCTTGAGGGCAGAAGTTCATGACCATCTTGTACAATATAGCAACACCCAGACTCTACAAAAACAAAAAAGAAAAATAATTGTATTTCTTGTGCAAAGTCCCTAACAAGTGTGATGACATCACCATACAGCTTTTAATATATATCCTTTCATGCTGAAATTCCCATGGAAACATGTCAGCTTCATAGCCATTGAGGGATATTAAAGAGGACACCACAACCTTTAGCCTAAACCTTTTTTCAAAGGAAGAAGGATTTGACTTGAATGTGCAGAAATCCTCATGTCCTCATATCTCCTCATAGGCATTTTAAATCTCCAGCTTTCTGACTGTATTCCAGAAAGCTGGGTGTACTTGCTACCCAGCTGCAAAACAAAATGCTACATTTCTACGCCTATTTAAATGTTAACTATGAAATTAATTGCTGGTTCAAATAACTCTTCTGACCGTTTAAAAACTTAAGAAATTTGCCATATGAGAGTGGGATGGATTGCTCAATTATAGTGCTAACATATATGTAGATATCCATGTGGTTTTTATTGATAAGTTTTTCTTCTCTCTCTCGTTTCCTATAACTAGAATTCCGGGGAGAAAGTCAGTAAGGTCAGCTTGGTAGACCTGGCGGGTAGCGAAAGAGTATCTAAAACAGGAGCTGCAGGAGAGCGACTGAAAGAAGGCAGCAACATTAACAAGTAAGGTGGCTGGTCCCAGAACAGCCTGGGTGATTTCCTTCTGGAGGGGATTTGTTGCATTATGAGGGTCAGATGGTTCTGATGTACAGGTTGTTTAAAGTCTGTATAGCTTTAGTAAACTGGGCTGAAGAAAAACAACAACAACCTGTGTCTGTTAAGATGTATGAGGTTTTTGGCCAGGCACGGTGGCTCATGCCTGTAATCCCAGTACTTTGGGAAGCCAAGGCGGGCAGATCACCTGAGGTCAGGAGTTTGAGACCAGCCTGGCCAACATGGCAAAACCCCATCTCTACTAAAAAGGCACGGTCACGCACACCGGTAACCCCAGCTACTTGGGAGACTAATGCAGGAGAATCGCTTGAATTTGGGAGGTGGAGGTTGCAGTGAATCAAGATTGCACCACTACACTCCAGCTTGGGCAACAGAGTGAGACTATCTCAAAGGAAAAAAAAGGATGTATAAGGATTTTGTTTAGGTACGGTGGCTCACAACTATAATTCCAGCATTTTGGAAGGCCAAGGTGAGTGGATCACTTGAGGCAAGGAGTTCAAGACTAGCCTGGGCAACGTGACAAAACCCCTTCTCTACCTGGTCTCTACCCCGTTTGTACCCATCTCTACCCCCTCTCTACTAAAACACAAAAATTAGCTGGGCATGGTGGCACACGTCTGTAATCCCAGCTACTCAGGAGGCCAAGGGGTGAGAATTACTTGAATCTGGGAGGTAAAGCTTGCAGTGAGCCGAGATTGCTCCCCTGTACTCCAGCCTAGGCAACAGAGCGAGACTCTGTCTCAAAAAAAAAAAAAAAAAAAAAAAAAGATGTACGAGTTTTAATTAAATAAAACTGCATGGTGCAGCTTGCTCAAAAATGGCACAAATACCATATTCTGACATATGTGGAAGCTAAAAAAGTTGATCTCATGGAAGTAGAAAGTAGAATAGTGGTTACTAGGGGCTGGAAAGGGGAGGCCAGGGGGAATAACGAGAGGTTGGTTAATGGATACAAAATTACAGCTAAATTGGAGGAATAAGTTCTAGTTTTCTGTAGCACTGTAGGGTGACTGTAATTGACAGTATGTTGTATATTTTCAAATAGCTAGGAAAGTGGATTTTCAGTGTTCCCAACACAAAAAAATGATAAGTGTTTGAGGTGATGGATATGCTAATTACCCTAAATTGATCATTATACATTGTATACATGTATCAAAATATCACACTTTACCCCATAAATATGCACAATTGTGTGTCAACTAAAAATAAAAGCAAGCCAGGCACGGTGGCTCACGCCTGTAATCCTAGCACTTTGGGAGGCTGAGGTGGGTGGATCACCTGAGGTCAGGAATTTGAGACCAGCCTGGATAATATGATGAAACCCTTCTGTACTAAAAATGCAAAAAATTAGCCAGGCATGGTGGCAGGCGCCTGTAATCCCAGCTACTCGGGAGGCTGAGGCAGAAGAATCTCTTGAACCCGGGAGACAGAGGTTGCGGTGAGCCGAGATCGCGCCACTGTACTCCAGCCTGGGCAACAAGAGTGAAACTCCATCTCAAAAAAATAATAATAATAATAGTACCTACTTCACCGATTTGTTAGGGATAAAATGACCATAATGTGCTTAGAAAAATGCCTAGCACTTAGTATGCAGTGAATAAAAATTAACTGTTATAGCTGTTGTTTTTTATAATCAGGATAACCATTATCATGATTCCAAGTTCAACAGAAAGTAGTTTAGTGTGTACTTGTAATCTTTTTCTGTTGAGCTGTAATAACTTAGGGTTTCGTTTAGGACAGAATGTGACAAGAGGAAATGTATTCAGGAACATGTTTGCACAGCTTGCATTTAAGATGATGTTAACACATTATTATTTTCATATACAAAAGTTTAAAAATTAGAAGTAAAATAGTGGCCCCTCTATCAGATGGACACAGCCGTACTCACAGGGAAAGACCACTACTATAGGAAGTTAATCATCCAGTCATTCTGTCTCCTGCTCTGATAACAAAGGATTTTGCTGTATTTCCTGACAAGGCATTGCAAGATTCCAGACTGGCACTGCAGCCCTGCATGCCAAAATGAGTTCAGAAACCAGGATGGGGAGGCAGAAATGGGAGTGTGAAGGAGCAGGTTTCAAAGAAAAGATTGCCACGCCTCGTGGAGATTCATTTGCAAGTGCTGGGCCATGCCTGCCGGTGGGGCTTGTGGGATCACACTAGAAAGTCTGTAGACTTGTTGGAATTTAGAGTGTGTGTGTGTGTATGACTGGCGTAGATGTGGAATGACCACTAACTTTATTGAGCTCTTGCTAATGCCAGGCACTATTCTGAATGCTCCATATGCAATGTCACATCAGCATCAAGGCATGGGTCCGTTATCCCCATTTTACAGATGAGAAAACCAAGACAGAGCAAGTTTAATGATGTCTCCCAGGTCACCAAGTTCTAAGTGTGGATTTTGGAAATGGTTGCCGTCAATTGGTCTCCGAGCCCAGGCTCAGCCACTGTGGCTACACTTGTGGGGATGGCTGTGCATTCTGTTTGCCAGGCAGCATCTAGATGATACTTTTGTCCCAGAGTAAATGTAAATAGTGCCCCCTTAATTTTGGATGTGAGTTTATGTAGTGTCCCTTACTGGATTACCCCAAGGCTTGGTGATTACGTGATTTAGATCATTTAGTAACTGGCTCTTTTTTCATAATGACTGGTTGAATTGAATGGAATTCTCTCAACATCTTACCTCTTTTCTTCCTTCCCTTTTTTTTTTTTTTTTTTTTTAAAGAAATGGGGTCTCGCTATGTTGACCAGACTGCTCTTAAACTCTTGGCCTCAAGCAATTTTCCCATCTTGGCCTCCCAAAGTGCTAGGGTTATAGGTGTGAGCCACTGCTTCTGGCCTCGTCTTATTTACATACTGTCTCTTTCACAAATGGATGTGTGTATTCCTTACTAGTTTATGAGATATGATCTTCCTTTTTAAGAGTTCTTTATACTTTTCAGAGCATTTTCATACACTCTGAGAGTCTCATAACATGTATTTTTATCTCTTTTTAAAGATGAGGAAAGGACTGATGCTTAGAGACGTTGAATAACATAAATAAAATCCCAGCAAACATTTAGTATGCCTTGGCCGGGTGCAGTGGCTCACCCCTGTAGTCCCAGCATTTTGGGAGGCTGAGGCAGGTGGCTCGCTTGAAGTCAGGAGTTTAAGACCAAGCTAACCAACATGGTGAAACCCTGTCTTTACTAAAAATACAAAAATCAGCCCGGCATGGTAGTGGGCGCCTGTAATCCCAGCTACTCAGGAGGCTGTCTCAGAAAAAAAAAAAAAAAAAAAAAAAAGGTTGAGTTCCAAAACTAAAGAAATCTCTGACATGTTCTTAAGCTTTCTCTCGTCCTCCCACTTAACGTTTCTTTGGATGGAGCATTAATAATCCTCTTAAGCAGGCCTGTCAGGGACTTCACACAAACGTCAGTGTCTGCTTAATGGGCTGTGGATTTAGGAACTTCATGTCTCCTGAAGCTCTTAAGACCTTTAAGCACATGTTACTCCTTTCATTAAAGAATTAAGACACTGCGTGGCCTACTGCCAGGGAGTGTTCAGAGCTTAGGAGGTATAGGTCATCTGTGGACCATCTTCACAGGGGAATACATTTGAAAAGCCAATCTGCTGCTCCACCTGTCTAGTGAAGGTGGAATGAGGAAGCCTTTTCCTTGTAATTGCAGTCTGGCTGCTTCAGCTTTGCTGAGAACACATTTGGATCATAGAGCACTCTCTAATACCCCCAGACACTGAAAATGGTTCCATTTTATTCAGTAATGGCTAGTCACTAAATGCAAACAATGTTTATCTAATGGGTATCGTTCCCAGTCTCATTCCTATTTCAATTCCTGTGGTTAATAAGCTAACATCTTATCAATAAGCTAACATCTCCAAAAGTGGGTTCTATTGAACACTTGTTCTATAGAAATTCATATATGTTACTTCTGGGATTGTATCAGTATAATTTGTTATAATAGAGTAACTTGTAAGCATGGTATTTCTAGTATTTCATGTGACTTGGTGATATGGTATGGCTGTGTCCCACCAAAATCTCATCTTGAATTGTAGCTTCCATAATTACCACGTGTTGTGGGAGGGACTCAATGGAAGTTAATTGAATCATGGGAGCGGTTTCCCTCATGCTGTTCTCATGGTCGTGAATAAGTCTCACGAGATCCGATGGTTTTATAAGGGGAAATCCCTTTTCCTTGGTTCCCATTCTCTCTCTTGCCTGCCACCGATGTGCCTTTTGCCTTCTGTCATGATTGTGAGGCCTCCCCAGCCACGTGGAACTGTGAGTCCATTAAACCTCTTTTTCTTTAAAAATTACCCAGTCTTGGGTGTGTCTTTATCAGCAGCATGAAAATGGACTAATACACTCAGTCTTCCTTTTTTTCTTCTTGAGTACTTTCCATGATTCTGGTTCATTTAGAGTCCCACTCTAAAGAGGTATTTCCTGAATAACAAAACATGAATTTGTATTGAGGGAGAAAAATAAAATGGCTTACTTCTGTCCATTACTCAAGGGTGGGTGTCCTTCTTAATTTATGACTTGTACATTACGGAGTCCATACATGTGAATTAAAAACCTGGATAGACATCTTTGCATTTAATGTGAGAGACCCATCAAGGACAGCAAAACTCTGCTCCTTGGGACACAGTAGCCACATCGTTGGAAGAATTTGATAGGGTTACCCAAGGTTTCCTAAAGCATTTTTGTCTAACATTAGTTCCTCAAATGGCTTTGAGAAGAAACAAATCCTTGGACAAGTTATTTTGAGAAAGAATAATTATAAAACCTTTCTTTGGAGATTCACAGTGCTAAAAGCTCGGAGACGTCCTGCAGTAATAAATCCTGTAAAACTTTGGCTTGTTGTTCCCTAAACTTACTTGATGACAGAATTCTAGGTTCAACATATGTTAAGATCCCTAGAACAATAAAGTATACAGTAACATTTTAAAGTATACACTAACATTTTCAGAAATGTCAGTATGTACTCTATTGTTCTACCACAACGGTTGATGAACATTGAGTTTAATGATTGGCATTAACCACTGGAAAACAATTTGAAAGGAAATGAGGCTGATACTGTAGCTATTACCATTTTCTTTGCTCTCCTGTCATGTGATGGTACTGTCCTTTACTCATAATTTGCCATCCATATTCTTTTCCATTTCTGCTTTACTGTTAAGAGTGAGGACTTATTGGGGAGAACACTAAACTCAAATCCACTTATTTCATCAATCTTTCAACTAATTATTTCTTTTCTTTCTTTCTTTCTTTTTTTTTTTTTTTGAGATGGAGTCTCACTCTGTCACCCAGGCTGGAGTACAGTGGCACGATCTCGGCTCACTGCGACCTCCATCTCCTGGGTTCAAGTGATTCTCCTGCCTCAGCCTCCCGAGTAGCTGGGATTATAGGCGTGCGCCACCACGCTCAGTTAATTTTTGTATTTTTAGTAGTGGAAGGGTTTCACCATGTTGGCCAGGCTGGTCTCAAACTCCTGACCTCAGGTGATGTGCCCCCCTCGGCCTCCAAAAGTGGTGGATTACAGGCGTGAGCCACTGTGCCCAGCCTCAACTAATTATTTCAAAGCCAGGGATTGCATTCTGCTCTAAGCAACAGAAACCAGCTACACTGACAATGACGTGAGTTAATTTTTCTCATTTAACAGGAAGTCCAGAGGCTGGTACAGCACCTCAGAAATGCACACAGCTCTACTAACTTTAATGTGTGTTCATGTCATCTTCATGATCTCAGGATAGCTCTATCATTCCAAACATCGTATCCATATCTGTGGTACAAACTGGAAGAAGGAAAAAGGAGGAAGGGCAAAAAACCACAGGCTTCTGTCAGCTGAATTTGTACCTTCTTTTATCAGAAGAACAACAGTTTTCTTGGAAGCCCCACCCAGTAATGTTTACCTACATCTCCTTGGCCAGAACTGTGTTTAATGGCTACCCGAAGCTGCAGAGAGGACTTTGGAAAATAGAGTTTTTAGCCCAGCACATTGCTTCCAGGAAAACCAGTGTTCTGTTAGCAAGTAGCACTCGATGTATCCCAAAACCATCATTGAATTAGTCCTTTTTAAACAGAGGTCCATGTTTTGGTCTTCACTGAATCTAGATTCAGATTAACGCTGCAGATATTTACTGAGTGCTTTCAGTCATAAACCAAGCACAGTAATTGCATGGAGGAATGTGTATGGCAAATTACACCGTCTGCCTTCAAGGTAATCACAATCTAAATAGAAAAGCAGAGAAATAGCTACACAAATAACTCCAATAAAGTTTAATAAGTATTATATATATGATCTTAGAACTGATTATTGGACTAATAAGTAAAATAATATTTGAAATCCATCCTATGCAATACAGATAATATGTACATCATATCCACTCCTAAGGAAAGAAATCTAATGGTCAGAGTTTCAGGGGAAACGGTGCAGGTTAGGTGAAGGTGCAGAAAAGAAAAAAAAAAAAGTTGGATTATAACTCGGTTTTTTCTCACTGATTATATTTATTGGAGTGGCTTTTATTTTGCTTTTGACCCTCCCAACTTTCTTTTACTTTTTTTATCCTTAGTTCTTCATTATGATTGATAGATTTTTTTAAAAAAAATTCTATCTTAAAACATGACTGTCCTTTTATAAATGTCATCTCCTAGCTTAAGACTTACTTCCTCTCCAGTTAGGCCCTCCCACCCCTGCCTAAGAACTTATGGTGAGAGATTTAAAGATTAAGAGCCTCCTTACTATATCCAACTTTAGGAGCTGTGCTTTAGTAGAATCAGAAAGATTCCTGGAATAACTTATTTTGCCACTAACATTGGCAAACAGCTGTTCCCTTGTTCTGGATTCCTGTGAGGCCAACAGGCTGCCCGCTGGCCTCCAGCTTGAGAAGACAGTATTAGCAGGATCAATACTTAGTGGTTTTTTTATATTTTTAAGTTCCCTGGGAATAAAATAATTCATAAAAATATGTAAGCCTGGCCAGGCTCAGTGGCTCATGCCTGTAATCCCAACACTTTGGGAGGCTGAGGTGGGAGGATCACTTGAGCCCAGGTGTTCGAGACCAACCTGGGCAACATAGCCAGACCCCATCTCTACAAAAAAATTTAAAAATTAGCCAGGTGTAGTGGTGCACACCTGTGGTCTCAGCTACTTGAGGGGGCTGAGGTGAGAGGATCACTTGATCCTGGGAGATCAAGGCTGCAGTGAGCCAGGATTGTACCACTGCTCTCCAGCCTGGGCGACAGAGCAAGACCCTATCTCAAAGAAAAAAAATAATATATGTATAAGTGTATACACACACACACACACACACACACACACACACACGTATGTGTATATACACATACATACATGTACTTACATGTATGTGTGTGTGTGTATGTAGACACACAAACACACAGACATATAAGCCTGTGATTCGCCTTTCAGACGTTGAACTTTCTAACAGGTTTTGGGATTCCAGAAGCCCCTGCATCATTGCTTCTGAGTGGAACATAGACAAAAAGGATAGCATGGGCTCCTCATCCCTGGGTGACCTGATTGTCTCTCACTTGCCATTGAGTCCCACTCACCCTGCAGTTATTTTCATTCTGTTCCAAGGGGATGGTAATAGATTTAGATAGAGTTCTTGTTTTGAATGTGTGGATACTATTAGATAAAAGGGGCGGCTTCTACTAATGATACACTTCTGTAACTGGATGAGTTACAGAGCAAAATATACATGGGAATTGGAGTTATATAACACTTCCATACAGCTCCACCCCTCTGCTGCTGCTGCTTACATGCTATACTGATGTAGGGGAGAAAAAATATTTTTCGTCTGTTTGCCCTGTAAATTAGACTGGCCAAAGACAGATTAACAAGAGAAAAGCAACTAGCATTTTATTAGCATATGCATCTTGCTTATGCATGGGAGCACCCAGAGATTAATAACCCAAAGTGGTAGGTATAACTTGGGCATACGACTGGGCATGGTGGCTCACACCTGAAATCCCAGCACTTTGGGAGGCCAAGGCAGGAGGATCCCTTGAGTCCAGTAGTTCAAGACCAGCCTGGGCAACAAAGTGAGGCCCCTTCTCTACAAAACATTAGCTGAGTGTGGTGGCATGCACCTGTAGTTCCAGCTACTCAGGAGAATGAGATAAGAGGATCGCTTGAGCCTGGGAGGTTGAGGCTGCAGCGAGCCATGATTGTGCCAGTGCCTGGGCAACAAAGTGAGACCCTGTCTTTGGAAAAAAAAAAAAAAAAGGAAAAGGGGTTTTGGGCTTCTGGATGCGGGAGGCAGGTTATGGGAAGGTGACCAGGAAAAGTATGGTGAATAAGAGTTGTCTAGAGAAGTTTGTGACACAGAAGTTTCTCCACCTTTAAGAGTTGTTAACAGTACTTCCCTTCTTGGTGCTAGAGAGGGAGACACCTCTACAAATGGAAATGTCCTTTACAAAAGGAAAATTGATGCCATGTTTTTAGAGCTTTTCCTGAGTCTGCTGGTTCTCAGTGGCCTCTAGCTTAAAATAATCCATATTCTGGCATCCTTCAGTCAGCTTGCAGACAAGACATATGATGGACATTGATGACACTGTATCTTTCCTTTTTTCTCTCAAAGCGCTATTTGGATTTTATGTTTCTACATTTAGGAGTACTAGAAACTTTCTGTGTTTCCCCCTTACACTGTCAAAGTAGAAATTATAAGTAGTTGCCACAAAGTAGAGGAAAGTCTTCTCTCGGTGATGGATAAATCCATGTCATCTCCAAAATGTATTTTCATGTGAAAGGTCACTGTCAACCATAAAGTTACTAATATTGACTTTTAAGTCACTGAACTCTTTAGAGCTTGTGTGAATTAAAATAATATGTGCCACACATAGATAGTAAAATATCTGGGATAGTTCAAAGAATTGTTTCCAATCAAAAATATCAATAGTTGCAAAATGTGAAAAAAATGCCCTGTATTCTATATTAAAGCAGAAATGTGTTTTTACCTTTTATTGAACTCCTACTTGCCTCTATTATCACATACAGTATTTTTTTCATAAAATTGTTACCTTTGGAGGAGTGATTGGACATATTTAATTTTTTTGAACAGCTGTATTAAGTAACTCACATACAATATAATTCACCATTGTAAAGTGTTCAATTCAGTAGCATTAATATATTCAGAGTTGTACCGCCATCACTACAGTCTCATTTTAAAACATTTTCATCATACCCAAAAGAAACCTTGTATCCAAATCATTCCCTATTACCCCCACCCACAGCCCTAGTCAACCACTGCCTCCATCTCTATAGATTTGCCTATTCTAGATATTTCATATAAATGGAATCATACAGTATATGGCTGTGTTCGATTGCTATTGCTACTGTAACAGATTACCACAAACTGAGTAGCTTAAAACAACAGAAATTTATTTCTCACAATTCTGCAGGCGAGAAATCTGAAATCAAGGGGTCAGCAGGGTTTGTTCCCTCTTAGCAGGTCAGAGGGAGAATCTGTTCCATGCCTCTCCCCTTGTTTCTGTAGGGCCATCAATCCTCGGCGTTCCCTGTCTTGTAGATGCATCACTCCAGTCTCTGCCTGCATCTTCACGTGGCCGTCTCCCCTGGGTGTCTTTATATGACCTTCTTATAAGGACATCACTCATTAGATTAGGGCCCTCCCTAATCCAGTATGATCTCATCTTAACTGATTACATCTGCAAGGACCCTTTTTCCAAATAGGGTCACATTCTGAGGGTCTGGCGGACATGAATACTGTTCAACCCAGGACAATGGCCTTTTGTGTTTGGCTTCTTTCACGTAAAATAATTTGCCAGGGTTCATCCGTGTTGTAGTTGTTGTGATACATGTATCTGAACTTATTCCCTTTTATGGCCAAATGATATTCCACTGTGTGTATATACCAGATTTTATTCATCACTTCATCATTTGATGGGCATGTGGTCGTTTCCACATTTTGACTTTTGTGGATAAAGCTGCTTTGAATATTCATGTACAAGTTTCTGTGTAGACTTATGTTTTCACTTCTCTTGGGTTAGATTTGTTTCACCTTTAAATCTGTCAAGTATGATGTACATTTTTGTGGATAAATGTATGGGGTACAAGTGCAATTTTGTTACAGGCACAGATTGTGCAGTGGTCAAGTCGGGGCTTTTAAGGTATCCGTCACCTGAATAACATACATTGTACTCATTAAGTATTAATTAAGCTTCTTGGCTGGGCGCAGTGGCTCACGCCTATAATCCCAGCACTTTGGGATGCCAGGATGGGTGGATCACCTGAGATCAGGAGTTCAAGACCAGCCTGGGCAACATTGTGAAACTCCATCTCTACTAAAAATACAAAAATCAGCCAGATGTGGTGGCGGGCGCCTGTAATCCCAGCTACTCAGGAGGCTGAGGCAGGAGAATCTCTTGAACCTGGGAGGTGGAGGTTGCATTGAGCCAAAATCATATCATGCCACTGAACTCCAGCCTGGGTGACAGAGCGAGATTCCATCTCAAAAAACAAACAAACAAAAAAATAAGCTCGTCATCCTCTCCCCTTCCACTCCCTCACCCTTCCAAGTCTCCATTGTCCATTCCAGTCTCTATGTCCATGAGTACACGTTATTTAGCTTCCACTTATGAGTAAGGACATGCAATATTTGTTTTTCTGTGTCTGACTTGTTTCTTTTATATATTTTTATTTTAATTTTTTTGACTTGTTTCACTTAAGATGATGTACATATTTATGCCACTCTGTGGTAATGGCTGTTATTAAAATTCTAACAGCCATTCTGATCAAATGAATTCTGGTTCATTTTCTGAATCTTGAGTTTATATTATATTTCGGGGACTTTTCAGTGACTCGTCTTTGGGGAATTATGTTTTGTGGGAAATAGGCTGCTTTCCTTTCAGCTTATTTGATGGAAATCTATTGTTAACATTACAAAGAAAGCTGTCTAGTCTTTCACTTGCTAGTTTGTGTCCTTCTTTGTTATTTGTAGTAGCATTTAACTTTTTTTTTTTTTTGAGATGGAGTCTTGCTCTGTCGCCCAGGCTGGAGTACAGTGGCGCGATCTTGGCTCACTGCAGCCTCCGCCTCCCGGGTTCAAGCAATTTTCCTGCCTCAGCCTCCCGAGTAGCTGGGACTATAGGCACACGCCGCCACGCCTGGCAATTTTTGTATTTTTAGTAGAGATGGGGTTTCACCATGTTGGCCAGGATGGTCTTGATCTCCTGACCCCTGACCTCATGATCCACCTGCCTCAGCCTCCCAAAGTGCTGGGATTACAGGTGTGAGCCACCACTCCCAGCTGCATTTAACTTTTTAAACCATTTACAAAGCACTTTCTTTTTATGATATTTTGGTTTTTTGGGGTTTCTTTGTTTTTGTTTTTTTGAAAGAGTCTCACTCTGTCGCCCAGGCTGCAGTGCAGTGGCACAGTCTCGGCTCACTGCAACCTCTAACTCCCGGGTTCCAGAGATTCTCCTGCTTCAGCCTCCCAAGTAGCTGGGATTACAGGCACCTGCCACCACGCCCAGCTAATTTTTTGTATTTTTAGTAGAGACAGAGTTTCACCATGTTGGCCAGGGTGGTCTCAAACCCCTGGCCTCAAGTGATTCATCCACCTTGGCCTCCCAAAGTGCTGGGATTACGGGCGTGAGCCACCAACGTGTATTAACTGTGGAGCTTTATTGTTCTGCATATTTTATACTTAAACCAAATAAACATTCCATAAAACTAATTTTTCATTTTTTCTTGACAGATCGCTTACAACCTTGGGGTTGGTTATATCATCACTGGCTGACCAGGCAGCTGGCAAGGGTAAAAGCAAATTTGTGCCTTATCGAGATTCAGTCCTCACTTGGCTGCTTAAGGTAATCCATTGCTCTAGTGTTCTTTTCCAACTAAAAATTGGCTATTCCAGATGTGACAGAGTAAAGGTGTGTACAAAGCTAACCAAATACCTAAAGAACTCTCCTGATGACAGTTATTCTAATTCCTAGGAACACAGAATGAAAACTATTTTCTACTCCTTTTTATTCCATTTGAATGCTGTTTGACAGGCCTTATTCATTGCTTGAATATAGAGAGGACACATTTCATCTTGTCATGACGTTATTTGTGAAATGCAAGTCCATTTCCACATAATGTTTCCTTCATAGAGAATAATGTCATACCTAACACATTTAGTGCTTTTATCATATGTGTTGTCCATGGAATGGGCTTCCTAAGATGCTGTTTGAAATACTTGGCAGGACAACTTGGGGGGCAACAGCCAAACCTCTATGATAGCCACAATCAGCCCAGCCGCAGACAACTATGAAGAGACCCTCTCCACATTAAGATATGCAGACCGAGCCAAAAGGATTGTGAACCATGCTGTTGTGAATGAGGACCCCAACGCAAAAGTGATCCGAGAACTGCGGGAGGAAGTCGAGAAACTGAGAGAGCAGCTCTCTCAGGCAGAGGTAAAAGCAGCCTGGTACTCCCTGCTGGTAAAGTTCCCTGGCTTGCGGGATTTGACTGGCAAGGGTGTGCTCATTTGCAATTGTAGGTCATCTGATATGGTTTCGATTTATGTCTCTACCCAAATCTCATGTTGAATTGTAATCACCAGTGTTGGAGGAGTGGCCTGGTAGGAGGTGATTGGATCATGGGGGCGAACTTCCCCCTTGCTGTTCTCGTGATAGTGAGTTCTCATACAGCCTGTGGAACCATGAGCCAATTAAACCCCCTTTTCTTTATAAATTACCCAATCTCAGGTATTTCTTTATAGCAATGTGAGAACTGACTAATACATCATCTCAATGTGGTTCAGCACTTCAGTGTTTATTGGCATCTGCCAAATGCTAAGCATTGTGAGGACCAACATGAGTAATACCATACTCTGTCCTAGGAACTTATAGTCATGGAAACAAACAAATAAGAGATAATTCCTGCTACTACCTGATCATTTGCTTCCCTAAATCAGTTGGCCTTTGAACTTTCAGTGGGAAAGTATGTTGTTTATATTAACATTATAAACTATTATTTCCACAGGGCCTTGCAATTTTCAGAGAATTTAGTTAGGTGTTATCTCCTTGTTAAGCTGTGGAAACGGCGTGATCAAAGATAATTAAACATTAGGAATAATTCAGAAATCTTTTTCTTTTCCATTTATATCAGGCCCTGACAAGAAACAAAATCTTTTTGCATTGTTATCTTCTTTCTTTGGCTTTACTGAAACTTTAATAATGATATACTCTTCTAAATAGGTGTTGCTTTTTGCAAATTATTGGGTGAGGCACTGTCTTATTTGAAATATTTAAGAGGACAGCTTTGGAGGCCAAGTGCCTTAGTTTAAGTCACAGGGTTCCACATGCCAGGACTTGGGAGTGTATCTGACACTTCTAAGTTCACATTCCTTCACCACTCTCTTCTGACCCCACTGTAGTTGGGAGAGTACTAAGTTGTAAGAAAAAAAGAAAGAAAGAAAAACACAGTTAATGGCCATTATTTATGGAGCATTTACATGCCAGGCACTATGTTAATACTTCTATCCATCAGCATATTTTATCAAAAAGTAATCAATAGAAGACTGAAAAAACAAAAAGGTGAAGCCAAGAGTCTGAATACTCTATTAATTGGTGATCTTGGCATTACATTGTAATTGTTTGTTTATATATCTTTCTCTTCTTCCAGGCTGTGGCTCTTAAAGTACAAGATGCTGTGTTTTATTGATTTTTTTATCCCCAACCCCTAGCCTAACATTGATACTAGAAAGCACTTACCACAATACCTTGCACATAGTAAGTTCTCAATAAATGTTGCTGATTTTTATTATAATTTATAATCATTCAGTGCATAAAGTATAATTTTCAGATAGATTGTAAGAAGGGTAGCAAAACACCAGAAAAATAAAAATGCTGATAAACCTTGAAAATAGTCATGATGCTAGGAGGAAAGTATAATGGTTCTGCAATGTGTTTATAGGTGGATTATCTACTTATTTGCATTTTTACTGTGACCACATAATCTGGGCGAGATGGCTCAAGCAATACCTGGCTGAAGGAAACAGAAGAAGAGCCAGCCACATAGGTCCACCTAGAATTTTCTTTTTCTGTTTCTTTTTTTTTTTTTTTTTTTTTTTTTTTTTTTTTTTTTTTTTTTTGGCGGGGGCGGGTGGACAGAGTCTCTCTGTTGCCCGGGCTGGAGTGCAGTGGCACCATCTTGGCTCACTGCAACCTCTGTCTCCTGGGTTCAAGTGATTCTTTTGCCTCAGCCTCCCAAGTAGCTAGGATTACAGACAGGCATGCGCCATTATACCCAGTGAATTTTTTTTGTATTTTTAGTAGAGACAGGGTTTCGCCATGTTAGCCAGGCTGGTCTCAAGTGATTCACCCACCTCAGCCTCCCAAACTGTTGGGGTTACAGGCAGGAGCCATTGGCCTGGCCTATAATTTTCATATATGTCCCACTGTACTCAGCACTAAATGCCACTGTCAGGCTCTGTTAATACCATGAGCCTCAGGCATACTCAGCTAGCTTCCAGATCATCACATCCCAGCTTCTTGTCCAAGCTCTGCCATCTTTCTTGTTCATAGAGTTTTAACTTTGTAGAGGCTCATGTTACTTTAAGGTGTCAAAGCATATTATTGACAAGTAAAGGCCTCTCCCCTCAAAATTTTGTTAAGCTGCAAGTATCTGTATTGAAACCTCTTAGTTACTCTCCCTGAACAAACTAGAAGGGAAACCACTGCCTTTTTAGCCAGCTGTGCTGCTTCTGGGTGAATGATAATGATAAATAACAAAATGCATGACCATCAGTGGAGAAAGGTAGTCTAAAGGCCCAGATTCAAAATTTAAAATACATGAGAAGTCTTTACCTTTTCTAGCAGATTAATTTAACTGGAATTCATTTATTGATGATGAGTGTTAACCTCCGTCTTATTGAAAAAGAAGTCTGCTTAAGTAACCTTTTGTCCTGCTTATCTATTTCAAAGTTGAACGTTAGCATCTTTTAGGGCTTTAAATGTGAAATTTAAGTATAATGGATAAAATGACTAATGATTTGTTTCATTTTCATTCAGGACACTGGTATTTCTTTTTCAGGGAACAGCCATGTTCTCTTACATTCGTTTGATTAATAAAGGTTAAAAACCCACCCTAACAGCATATAACTTAATTTTTTCCAACAGACTATTGATAACTGCTTAAGAGGGACAGTAACTGATTGTCTTGTATATGATGGTGGAAAAATTTTGAACATCAGATATCTCTGATTTCATTTTAAAGGCCATGAAGGCCCCTGAACTGAAGGAGAAGCTCGAAGAGTCTGAAAAGCTGATAAAAGAACTAACAGTGACTTGGGAAGAGAAGCTGAGAAAAACAGAAGAGATAGCACAGGTAGCTTGATAATTTAGCCCTAAAATATTGGGATTCTTTTTCACTTATTGTCTTTTCTGTGTAGTTTGCTGTCATCTTCAGAAAGTCTTTTTTTTTTTTTTTTTTGAGACGGAGTCTCACTCTGTCGCCCAGGCTGGGGTGCAGTGGCGTGATCTCGACTCACTGCAACCTCCACCTCCCGGGCTCAAGCAGTTCGCATGCCGTAGCCTCCCGAGTAGCTGGGATTACAGGTGCCTACTACCATGCCTGGCTAATTTTTATATTTTTAGTAGAGATGGGGTTTCACCATGTTGGCCAGGCTGGTCTCAAACTCCTGACCTCAGGTGATCTGCCAGCCGCAGCCTCCCAAAGTGCTGGGATTACAGGCATGAGCCACTGCACCCAGCCTCAGAAAGTCTTTTAAGGGCCCTTTTCTGCTGAACCAGAGATTGCAAAGATCACTTTTTTTTTTTTTTTTTTTTTTGAAGACAAGGTCTCCCTCTGTCACCCAGGCTGGAGTACAGCAGCTCAATCACAGCTCTCTTGCAGCCTCAACATCCTGGGCTCAAGTGATTCTCCTCCCTCAGTCCCCCCAAGTAGCTGGGACCACAGGCATGTGCTACCATGCCCAGCTAATTTTATCTATTTTGTGTAGAGCTGTGGTCTTATTTTGTTGCCCGGGCTGGTCTCAAACTCTGAGCTCAAGTGATTCTTCTGCCTCAGCTTCCCAGAGTGCTGGGGTTACAGGCATGAGCCACTGTGCCTCGCCCAGCAAAGATCACTTTTAGACATTGACGTCAGGTCTTTTTATCAATGTACAGTTTGGCCTGTATATTTGCTAGACGTGTTAGATAGCACTAAATTTGAACAAGCATGGTTACAGAAAATGTCATTCATATTTCCTGCTCTTCACATTTAAACGAAAGTCTGCCTTGTGATTTTTTTTTTTTTTTTTTTTTTTTTTTTTGCAGACAGAGTCTCTCTCTGTCGCCCAGGCTGGAGTGCAGTGGCGCAATCTCGGCTCACTGCAACCTCCGCCTCCTGGGTACAAGCGATTCTTCTGCCTCAGCCTCCCGAGCAGCTGGGACTAGAGGCTTGCGCCACCACTCCTGGCTAATTATTTTTGTACTTTAGTAGAGATGGGGTTTCACCGTGTTGCCCCAGCTGATCTCAAACTCCTGAGCTCAGGCAATCCACCCACCTTAGCCTCCCAAAGTGCTAGGATTACAAGTGTGAGCCACTGTGCCCAGCCTTGTTTTGTGATTTTTAGATCACCTGGCAAAGCATGAGGCTACCTGATTTTTATTTTATTTTATTTTATTTTTATTTATTTAATTTTTTATTGAGATGGAGTCTTGCTTTGTCACCCAGGCTGGAATGCAGTGGCGCAATCTTGGCTCACTGCAACCTCCGCCTCCCCAGTTCAAGCTATTCTCCTGCCTCAGCCTCCCAAATAGCTAGGACTATAGGTGTGTGCCACCACAACTGGCCAATTTTTGTATCTTTTGGTAGAGTCAGGGATTCACCATGTTGGCCAGGCTGGTCTCAAACTCCTGACCTCAGGTGATCCACCCGCCTTAGCCTCCCAAGAGGCTACCTAATTGACAGAGAATTTGTAACGTATAGCATATCATAATTTTTCAATGTATTTGATTCTTTGGGCTTGTTAGGAAATGCTGTATGTTTATATTTTAACTTTTACTTAAGTTAAAATATAAAGGAAGGACTAATTCTCGGGGTTATGTGCATTATGAATTTCTCTACATTATATATTTCACGAACATTTTTAATCTCATTGATCATTTGGAAATATTGGACCATCCCAATCACGTAGCTTAACAGCAGTCACTGGAACCCAGTCCAGCCTTCTGCTGATGTGTTTCTTATAGATATCGTTCACACCCACACATACCCCTACACCTCACTCACTGTCCCGCTTAACATTGCTTTATGTTTCTCCATAGTACTTAACACCATTGGAAATTCTATGTACCATATTGACTTAACTGTTTTCTTATGGCCTGTCTCCTCCCACCAGAATATAACTTTTCATGAAAGACGGGACTTCATTGGGTTCAGTGCTGTATTCCCAGCCCGAGATCAATACCTACTACATTGTAGACTCTAATAAATATATCTTGAATGAATGAATGAATGAGTGAATACAAGGCCTTCCGCAGTAGAGACCCAACCTTCTCTTCCAGCCTTAACTCTCACTGCTTTCTGATATTTGCCAGGGGTTCTTGGCCCCTGAAATCATCTAGTATGTCCAGAACCTTTCTTTAGTGTGCTTCCGTATGCCATGCCCCAAGAACACCCTATCTTTATATTTCTGTTGAAATTATTCTTATGCTTCAAGAACTATCTCAAATATATCCTCTTTCTGCAGCCTTTCTTGGTCTCTTAACCCATCATGATGTCTCTCCTGGGAAGCCCCTGGCATTTTGTACCCTTCAATAGCACAACACTCTCCTCTTTTGTGCTCTAGTTATGTGGTCTTGTTCCCTCTACTAGATTCTAAGCTCCTTAAGAGCCAAAATGGTGTCTGGTTCATCCTTGGTGCCCCTATCACGCCTGCCACAAGATGTCATGCACTGTAGACTCTCTGTTAATGTGGTTGAGCAGAGTAGCATGTGTAATCCCATTGGCATTGTCCCCAGAAACAGTGACTTACTCTTTCCGTGGATACATCTTGTGAATAGAACAACAAACAGAGTTTCCTTCTTTTGTCTGTTTTTGTGCACAGGAAAGACAACGACAACTTGAAAGCATGGGGATTTCCCTGGAGATGTCCGGTATCAAGGTGGGGGATGACAAATGCTACTTAGTCAATCTGAATGCAGACCCTGCTCTTAACGAACTTCTGGTTTATTATTTAAAGGTAGGAGAACATATAAATACATATGCAATCAAGATTCATTCCTATACAGTTCGTAGTTGAATCTGGGTGCCTGTCTCTGTGATGTTGCTTTTTGTATCCAGCTTAGCCCTCAGTAAAACTAAGATGGATAGTGCCCTCCGATCACCACTGAGAAGGAAAAACAGCTATTTTGTATCATCTGGGGCTGTGCAGTTGGGGCTGATCTCCTGTGAGTCCAGGCTTCAGAGTGGCATAAGTGGGCAACAGTAGGTGTCGAGGTGATGCCTAGCTTTATGAGAAGGCTCTAGGTGTGAGATGGTGAGGATTCTGGGAATATCTGTGTTCTTCCACAAAGCTCCTGAGAAGCTCTGGAGGTTCTTAGTTATGCTTCTGAGTAATTCCAAGGAGATCTCAAGATCAACACAAGCCTAAAGGAGACCCTCGTCCTAGATTAAATAGACAACAATGTTCTTCTAGGTCTATCCCTTGTAAACCCACATCCTCAGGAAATAACTTTTGGTCCCATAATCACCCTTCAGGTGTAGAGGTGGGATGGGGCCGCCCTGTTGCCACTGTGGTCGCAGGACATGCCACGTTGGATAGCTTACTGTAGCATTTCTCAAATTTTCTGACTTCAGAACCCATTTACACTCTTAAAAAAAGTATCAAGGACTCCAAAGAACTTTCATGTGTCTGGGTTATATCCGTGTTTACTGTATTGGACCCTAAGACTGAGAACATTTTAAACTACAAACATAAACGTACAACCCTTAGCCCTCAGGGCTATAACATCATTACATGTCTCATAGACTCTGGAAAATTCCACCAATACACACACACATGATAAAATGAGAGAGCAAAGGCAAACAACATGTTCATGTTTCTATTGAAGTAGTTTTGACTTCATAGGCCTCCTGAAAGGTTCTCAGAGACCCCGGGGGTTCTCAGATCACACTTTTAGAACTGCTTGCTTACTCTGCAAAGTGAGAAATAAGATATCTGATTGACATTGATTTAGGACACTGTGACTGACATAAGGCATTCAGCCAACCATCAGGGCATTTTTAATCTCACACATACACACACTTTCTGAGTTACAGAAACGAACTTTCAAGGATTGGGGACCTGGGGCCTTGAAGGCAGCTTACATATGCTGTCCACACACCTGAATCTCTAAATGCGAAGGTATTGCCTGCTTGAGAACAGTGAGACACCTTGTTAAGGATTCTGATCTGCCTAGTAAATACATAAAATGCAATGGAGAATAAGCCAAAATTGAAGCAAGGAGCCTCACCTTCTACTTTTCCTAGAGGTGTAAATTTGGTACAAATAGCCCCTGAGTTATTGAGAGTCCCCCAACAAACTTAAGATCTGTTCATTTAGGCAATGAGTAGGGGTAAGGAATTGTCTCTGAAATCCTGATTTTGAAAGACCAATCCTTATACTTTCTCTGTCAAATAGGGAGGTATTATTATAGTTATTAAACTATTTTAAGAGCAATAGAAAAAAATGGGATAAGCAGTGGCTGAATCACCAATAGTCACAGTCCTCGTATGTCTGAGGTTCAGGTACTTAAAATCACATGAGGCCAGGTGCAGTGTGTTTACTGTATTGGACGCTATCAGTGTCAATCAGATGTCCTATTTCTCACTTTGCAGTGTAAGCAAGCAGTTCTAAAAGTGTGATCTGGGGTCTCTGAGAACCTTTCATGAGGCCTGTGAGGTCAAAACTACTTTAATATAAACACGAACATGTTGTTTGGCTCTGCTCTCTCATTTTATCACGCATGTATTGGTGGAGTTTTCCGGAGTCTATGAGACATGTAATGATATTATAGCCCTGAGGGCTAAGGGTTGTATGTTTATGTTTGTAGTTTAAAATGTTCTCAGTCTCACGCCAGTAATCCCAGAACTTTGGGAGACCAAGGCGGGCGGATCACTTGAGGCCAGGAGTTCAAGACCAGGCTGGCGAACATGGTGAAACCCCCATCTGTACTAAAAATAAAAATTAGCCAGACGTGGTGGCGCATACCTGTAATCCCAACTACTCAGGAGGCTGAGGCAAGAGAATGGCTTGAACCCAGGAGGCAGAGGTTGCAATGAGCTGAGATTGCACCACTGCACTCCAGCCTGGGTGACAGAGTGAGACACCATGTCAAAAAAAAAAAAATCACACGTTTGTACATGGTATGACCCACAGGCATTAATACTGTATGTAATATCAGTATTAGAAATTCAAAATTTTTAGCATTTTCAAAGTTGAATATTTTAAAATATTACTGTCAATGAAACTGCTTTTTAATGGTTCTTAAATTTATGTAACTGTTTTCAAAACACTTTCACTGTTAACTCAGATGATCCTAAAAGAAATCTAAATAGGTGAAATAGATAATATTATTCTGGTTTTGCCAACAAAGAAACTGAGGCTCAGAGAGTGAAATGGCTTCCCCGTGGTCAAGTCACAATTGAAACTCAAAGTATTCTACTGTCAAGTCCAATTTCCTGTGTTAAAAACAATAACTAATCATTGTTGATTGGGGATTTTTTTTGGTAGTGTTTAAACATTTTTTTTTAATTTGGTGTATTAAGGGTAAGCGTTTTACTTTTAATGCTTAAGATATTTAACATCTCTGGCAGGATTCGTTTAATATTTTTGTGCATATGCTGCTGCGTTATTCAAATTGATTGTGATACATTTTTGCTGAGTTACTCATAAATGTGGGTTTTTCTTTCCTTAATAATCTTTTACTAGGATCACACCAGGGTGGGTGCAGATACCTCTCAAGATATCCAGCTTTTTGGCATAGGAATTCAGCCTCAGCACTGTGAGATTGACATTGCATCTGATGGAGACGTCACTCTCACTCCAAAAGAAAATGCAAGGTAAGAAAAGTAAATGGTGACTTCACGTGTCTTGTGTGCCTTATTTTCAGAAGGAGAAGGCTGCCTCTTTCTGTTTGCTTTCAGCTATATTAAAGTTAAGGATACATGGGGGTCCTCAGGGGGCCCTTGCTTTCTGATTGTAGAGAGTGATTACTGTGAAGGAGTGACTATTTTTGTATGCGAGTTCTAGTTCCACTTAATCCATAACTCTGAGCTTTAGAACCCTGTAAAGATCAGGAGTCCAATTATGAGAGTAAGTGAAAAGAGTAACTTATTGGAAAATGAAAACTCAAAGTGACATTTCTTTTCTTTCTTCAAACTTTACCTGACAGTCCTTTGGCAAATTAACCTTCAATTAACTATTTAGTTATCTTGTCCACCTCCAGTGTTTTGTTTTGTTTTTAAATACCAGAAAATTGGCTAGGCGGGGTGGCTCACACCTGTAATCCCAGCACTTTAGGAGGCTGAGGCAGGAGTATTGCTTGAGCCCAGGAGTTCAAGACTAACCTGGGCAGTATAGTGAGACACCGTTGCTACAGAAAATAAATAAGAAAATTAGCCGGGCATGGTGTTCAATTCCTCTAGTCCCAGCTACTTACAAGGCTGAGGTGGGAGGATCACTGAAGCTCAAGAGGTCGAGGCTACAGTGAGCCATGGTCATAGCACTGCACTGTAGCCTAGCCTAGGTTACAGAGCGAGACCCTGTCTCAAAAAAAAAAAAAAATGTAGAGAGAATAATATAATGAAACCCCATGGACCCATCCTCCAGTTTTAAAAATGAGCATCTCATAGACAGTTTTGTTATTTATATGCCTTCCATATCTCCTCCTCCTTCCTAAAGCAGGCCAGGAACAGTGGCTCACACCTGTAATCCCAGCACTTTGGGAGGCCAAGGGGGGCATATTGCCTGAGTCCAGGAGTTCAAGACCAGCCTGAGCAACATGGCGAAACCCCCTACTCTACAAAAAAATACGAAAAATGAGCTGGTATAGTGGTGCACACCTGTAGTCTCTGCTACTCGGGAGGCTGAGGTGGGAGGATCACTTGAGCCCACGAGGTTGAGGCTGTAGTGAGTCGTAGTTGCTCCATTGCACTCCAGCCTGGACAACCAGAGTAAGACCATGTCTCAAAAAGAAAAAAAATTATTTTATTTATTTATTTTTTTTTTAATTTATTTTGAGACAGAGTCTCACTCTGTTGCCCGGGCTGGAGTACAGTGGCAAGATCTCGGCTCACTGCAACCTCTGCCTTCCAGGTTCAAGCAAACCTCCTGCCTCGCCTCCCAAGTAGCTGGGATTACAGGCGCCCACCACCATGCCCAGAAAAAAAAATTATTTTAAAGTAGATTCCAGATTTTATAACATTGTATCTATAAATATCTCACTATGTCTCTCTAAAAGATGAAGATTCTTAAATATAGTTTCAATATCATCATACCTAAAATAATTAATAATAATTCGTTACTAATCTTCATATAGCCAGTCAGTGTTCAGATTTCCCCAGTTGTCTCATCAGTTTTCTTTTTCAGTTGTTTCTTGAAATTAGGATCCAGATAAGATCCTACCATTGTTTTATAGTATTCCTCTTAGATCTCTTTTAACAAATGGGTTTCCTCTTCCTCTCTTCTGTGTGTGTGTGTGTCTGTTTATCCCTGTCTCTCTCTGCCTCTCTCTCTTCTTCCTTGCATTTTATTTGTTGAAGTCACCTCATTGTTGATCCTAGAGGTTCCCACAGTCAGGATTTTGCTCACTGCATCCCATGGCATCATTTCACATCCTCCATTGTTCTCTGTATTTCCTAAATTGGCATTTAAATGTGGAAGCTTGATCAGGTTCAGCTCAAATTTTGACAAGAATAGCCATGGGTGGTGCTTTCTGTCTCCATCAGGAGTGCATCATGTTAGGTTGTCATTCTCTGAGGGGTGTTGGCAGCCCTTGGTCCTCATGGCTTAGATTGTGTGTTTTCATAGTGGTTACACATTCTGCTCTTCCTTCTTTAAGCGTTAGTTGGAATGCATTTATTAAGAGAAAGCTCCCCTAGTTATCTCTTTGGCTACCAGGACAAGGTCTTGTGCTCCTTCCCATTTACCTGGTATTTTCCCTCGTGTTCTCCCAGGTCCTGTGTGAACGGCACCCTTGTGTGCAGTACCACCCAGCTGTGGCATGGTGACCGAATCCTATGGGGAAATAATCACTTTTTTAGGTAACATCTTTGTGTTCTGTAATATATTTTCGTATACATTTTTTCTGTTATCTATTTAAGTGTAAAACAAGTTGATTTTCTCTAATGGTGAAAAACCCCACAGAATAAACTTACCTAAGAGGAAACGTCGAGATTGGTTGAAAGACTTTGAAAAAGAAACGGGCCCGCCAGAGCATGACCTGGATGCAGCCAGTGAGGCTTCCTCTGAACCAGACTATAACTATGAATTTGCACAGATGGAAGTTATCATGAAAACCCTGAATAGTAATGGTAAGACCCTCACTCTGTGTTCCAGCGCCTTGGGCATTTCCTCACCTCACACCATTCAGTGAGGGATAAGCATGCATCAGGTGTCATTCCGCATTCCACATTTTAAACACATAAAACTGCTCATTTCTTTAAAAGGCCATCAGTGAATAACTAATGACAAGATGTGGGGGAGATGGTCTTCTCCCTCAGTTACAATGAGGATATGGATGGTCCCGTTTTTGAGACCTCTTATTCCCAAGCGAATTGTGGTGACATTTCCACGGGCCTAGAGTACTGAATGATTTTGACAAAATTCCTTACCAAATTTCTCATCATCGAGCCTGTCATATCTGAATCCTTGAGAATGTGAAAATCCCCAACAGAATATAAATTCAGGAATTTCAAATATAATCTATGGAAAGATAAAAGTCACAGCATTTTAGTATAAACTCAATTGGAAATTTTACCCCAAAGATATTTATTTAATAAGCCCAGATCACTTTTACAAAAATGATAGTGAAAATGAAATGCTTTATAGCCTCTTTATTTGACTTATACCAAGTTTCACATCTAAAAGTCCGTGTTCCTTTACCTTTTCTTTCTTATTCTGTGCCTATACACACCTGCCTGCATTAAATAAAATAGACACCAAATTCTTTCCTTTTTTGCTGTTTTATAAATCTGCCCTTTCTTTTCCCATCTCCCAGTGTCTTAATTGCTAGATTTGATGACTGGGACTTAGAAGCCAGAAGCAATGTTCACCTGTTACCAACCACAAGATGACATTTCTGGGACTAGAATGATTTTATGAGGATAAAACTGAGGCTGTTTAGGGGTACCTGAGAAAGGTAGTTTGTAGGCTCAGTCCAACCTCTCCTTCTCATTCATCTGATCTTGGGGCACCTGAGGTTCCCTAACTTGAACCAGGGTGGACCTCCAGGGCCCTGAGGGCCCTAAGACAGGCAGCCTCTACCTGACAGGGGGCTTGAAGAGCATTTTGGTGTTTTGTTTTTTTTTTTTTTTTTTTTGAGACGGAGTCTCTCTCTGTCGCCCAGGCTGGAGTGCAGTGGCACGATCTCGGTTCACTGCAAGCTCCACCTCCCAGGTTCACGCCGTTCTCCTGCCTCAGCCTCCCAAGTAGCTGGGACCACAGGCGCCCGTGACCACACCTGGCTAATTTTTTTGTATTTTTAGTAGAGACGGGGTTTCACCGTGTTAAGGCAGGCTGGTCTCAATCTCCCGACCTCGTGATCCGCCTGTCTTGGCCTCCCAAAGTGCTGGGATTACAGGCATGAGCCACCACGCCCAGCCGAGCATTTTGTTTTTCACAGTTGAGCTCTTCCCTTAAACATTGGCTTTCTCACTTTACTCTTTGAGCCTATCTGGGAAGAATTTGAGCATAGAGAATTGTGGCATATGTGCTGCCAAGGCAAGCACATGGTGAGAGAATTATCAGATCTCTGGCATATCAAATTGGGGATTCTGTTGCAGGATTAAAGCTTTTGGCCTTTTCATTGATTTCTGTTTATGAAGTTTTTGCCTAGGGGGCCTCTTTTTTTAATTATAAAAATGAAATGTAGGGCCAGGTGTGGTGGCTCATGCCTGTAAATCGCAGCACTTTGGGAGGCCCAGGTGGGCAGATCACCTGAGGTCAGGAGTTTGAGACTAGCCTGACCAACATGGCAAAACCCCATATCTCCAAAAAATACAAAAGTTAGCCAGGCATGGTGGCACATGGCTGTAATCCTAGCTACTCGGAAGGCTGAGGCAGGAGAATTGCTTGAACCCAGGAGGCAGAGGTTGAGCCAAGATCGCATCACTGCACTCCAGCCTGGGCGACAGAATGAGACTCCTTATCAAAAAAAAAAAAAGAAATTTAAATTAAACGCCAGGCATGGTGGCTCACATCTGTAATCCCAGCACTTTGGGAGGCCGAGACGGGAAGATAGCTTGAGGCCAGGATTTGGAGACCAGCCTGGGCAACATAGTGAAACTCCATCTCTACTAAAAATACAGAAATTAGCCAGGCATGGTGGTTTGCACCTGTAATCCCAGCACTTTGGGAGGCTGAGGCAGGAAGATTACTTGAGGCCGGGAGTTCGAGACCAGCCTGGCTAACGTGGTGAAACCCTGTCTCTACTAAAAATACAAAAATTAGCCAGGTGTGGTGGTGAATGCCTGAAATCCTAGTTACTTGGGAGGCCGGAGCACGAGAATCACTTGAACCTGAGAGGCGGAGGTTGCAGTGAGCCAAGATCACACGACTACACTCCAGCCTGAGCAACAGAGCGAGAGTCTGTTTCAAAAAAAGAAAGGAAAGAAAGGAAGGAAGGAAAAAGAGAGGGAGGAAGGCAGGGAGGGGGAAGTGGGGGGCGGGGAGAGAGAGAGAGAGAGAAAGACAGCCAGCCAGCCAGACTGTGAAAAACAAGTGTAATGTATTTATATAAAGAGTATAGGGGCCAGGCACGGTGGCTAATGCCTGTAATCCCAGCACTTTGGGAGGATGAGGCAGGTGGCTCACCTGCAAGACCAGCCTGGCCAACATGGTGAAACCCCGTCTTTACTAAAAATTAAAAAATAAAAATTTAGCCAGGCATGGTGGCAGGTGCCTGTAATCCCAGCTACCCAGGAAGCTGAGGCAGGAGAATCGCTTGAACCCGGGAGGTGGAGGTTGCAGTGATCCGAGATGGTGCCATTGCACTCCAGCCTGGGCAATAAGAGTGAAACTCTGTCTCCAAAAAAAAAAAAAAAGTATAGAACCATGAAGAAAAAAGTAGGAAAAAACAACTTTATGAGAAAGTTTGGCAATTTCTGTCTTTAAACAGTAAGAGTAGAGTGTTAAGATTAGCCACTGGGGCTTTTGGCCCTGCAGTGCAGGGTGGACCATAGCTAGGAGTCAAGATTCATTCCACTCTGTTACTTCCCCACCAATTGGGAGGAATCCCAGAGACATTTCGAAGTGACGTTCAGACATCAGAATCACATTAATGGGTTATTTAACAACCTAACTGAGCAACAAGTCTGCTGTGAGTGATCTTTTGGAAGCCTGAGTGGATATAGGGTGTTCAGGAGGATGTAGACTCCAAACTCCAGGTGGAGGAACTCCCATTGGAGACAGCTCATTGCTTCAGCGGACGTTACAGAATCTAGACATCTCTAGTCGCTAACTCTGCAGAGTTTACAGGTGGTATCAGTTTAATCATTTAGCCCTCCGAGATCACAGGTTCCTTATTTGAATCAATTACTACCTTCTTATATATAAATTAACTCCTTCAATAATCAATGAGTATTCAGTAAGCATTTGTTAATTCCTCTGATCCTCTCAGCCAAACCAATTGGAGTCATCAGTGGCCTGGTGCACAGTGTTAACATGAATTATTCTTTTGTATCCCAGATCAGGCCTTGCTCTCCAGTGTTGATTTTGTCCATATTGAAGTCATATTTATGGCTGGGTGCAGTGGCTCATGCTTGTAATCCCAGCACTTTGGGAGGCTGAGGTGGACGGATCACTTGAGGTCAGGAGTTCGAGACCACCCTAGCCAACATGGTGAATCCCAGTCTGTCTTAAAAATACAAAAATTTAGCCAGGTGTAGTGATGCGTGCCTGTAGTCTCAGCTATTCAGGAGGCTGAGACAGGAGCACCACCTGAACCTGGGAGGTGGAGGCCGCAGTTAGAGCTGAGATCGCACCATTGCACTTCAACCTGGGTGACAGAGCAAGACTTCATCACAAAAAAAAAAAAAAGAAGTTATGTTTCCCCCTACCCCATCCTTTACCCAGTTCCAGTGGAGCTTCCCTTTGGGGCATACACACAGTCTCTGATGCAAGTGCTGATGTGCCGGTGGCTGGACGGTGTTCACTGTGATTCCCCTCTACTGCTAGGTGGCTTCCCGATAATAAGCCTGTCTGCCTGGTGGTCATCCCCTTGGTGGTCTTATTTGAAGATCCTCTTTCCTCTCATGTGGTTTCAGACGAAGCTCCTCCACAAACACTGGGATAAAGGTTTTTAACTGATTGGCATTGGCATGAGGGAGCTTGGCTGGTTTTTAGCAGTGCTGCTGATTGATGCTCATGCTCCATGCTTTGGCAAAAATCTAACTAACATGATTGGGAAGAAGCTGGAGTTTTCTGGCTGATGAAGGTGTTCTGTATTCTTCATTGAGGAATGTTCCTTTTCAATTATGAACACCCCACCCCCAACACACACACACACACACACACACACACACACACACCATGTCCCAATTCCATTTGCCTCCCAGATTTTGGTTAAACTCTAACAGCAGCTATTCTGTATGTGTGCAACAGCACTGAAAAGTATTATTGGTATTATTACTGCTGTTATCGATGGCTTTGTTGCTGTTGACAGCAGAGCAGTTCAGGTCAGTAGTACTTCCAGATATATATTCACCTACAGTATCCCAGTAATAGGTAAGATTAATGTATTTTTTTAGTTTCTAGAGTAAATACTGATCTAAAATCCAATTCATTTGAATTAAAAGTAAAAAGAAACCTAGTATTTGTGGACAATAATGCCTTCTTCCCAGGGGTTTGAAATAGGAATCAGACAAAATAAGAATCATCTCTTTTTTCAATGTCAATGGCAGCTCTAAAGAAAGTGCAACTTTGCCAAGCGCAATGGCTCTCTCCTGTAATCCCAGCACTTTGGGAAGCCAAAGTGGGAGGATTGCTTGAGGCCAGGAGTTCGAGACCAGCCTGGGCAACATAGTGAGCCTTCATCTCTACAAAACATTTTAAAAATAAAGAACAATTAAGGGGCTGACAAAGGGTCATGCGTAGTGCCAGTTTGTTCCATCTGGGATCAAATAGTTCTTTTTTTCTCCAAAGATCTGTTTCCCCTCAATTCAGTTTTTTAGACATTTTGGTGTTAATTAATTCTAATTCTCTTTCTTATATGAATACCCTGCTACCAGCACCACTACCACCGCCATTTTTTCTTTTCCATTCTTGGGATGATGGGTCGGTTTGAGCTCATTGCATAGTTACCTACTAAGTAAAGAAGAAACTAATGAGGACGAGAAAGTGCTATGCCCAAAGTAAACGTGGTCCTTTCTTTTTTCCTAAAATACTTACTTCTTTGAGATCTTGGCTTTGGGCACCTGGCTCACTATTTAAAACAGTTCATTCAAGAGAAGGAAAATGATAGGAAAAATAAACCTGTGGACAATCTCTTGATATTTGGTTGGTATTTTGAGAAAGGGCTGAATAATCTTTGGCTTCCGTCCTGGGCCACATCATAGAGTCAGATCGACTTGCTGATTTGGATGGTCTGTTTGAAAATATGCTGTGTGTGGGGTAAAGACTTGAAACTGGTTAATTGATTTGAAAAGAAAATGTCATCAAAGTTGTCCGTGAGAAAGGTGTTTGCAGACTAATGTTAGGGATCAGAGGCGAAACAAAACCCCAGCCCCTAGACCTCCACCGTAGCTGTGTGTGGTGAGGGCGGATCTGGGAGTTCGGGAATGGGGCTTACAAGACTCTACTGTGGGAGTCTCAGAGGAAGGACGGATTGAGTTGCTCTGTCTTCTGTATTTGCACTTCAATTTGTGGCCACTCATCATGCCTAGTGAGTAGTGGTAGTGCTGTGTCATGACAGCTGCTGGTGCAGTTTCAAATAGCCTCACTCACGTGGCCTGTGTCAGCATGGAACCTTGGGGTGAGATCCCCTCTGCCCCAGTCATTTGGGATCATGTGTGTTTCTGCACTACTGACTAACAATGGAAATGTGGATTATATATCTTATTCAGTATCTCGTAGCAAAAACCCTATAATGCAGTTTTATAAAACGGTGTGTTTTCCAGCTTCTCTGGAAAAGATTTATAAACACTGTTAGGACAGTTGGGCTCCATCTAAATATAAATGGATGGCAAGTACTGTAGCACCCTGTCCTTTCTTTTTTAAACCCAGAGCCTATATACTGTTTGAGAAATATGTGTATATATTTTTTTAATTCTGAAAGAACTTTTCTTCTCTAGAGCTTACATTTAAAATGTCTTCAGATGCCCTCAAAAAAATTTTACCATATTTCTCATATTTTTTTAGAAGTTATAGGAGTTTGTCAGAAGTTCTGATGCTTAGGAATACATAGGTTGTTATTATATAGATAATATTTTACCCACCCAGGATCTATGTTTGCATAAGATTTTTTGTTTGTTTTTTGGTTTGGGTTTTTTCCCCCAGTTTATATTCTTTTCTTTCTTTTTTTGAGATGGAGTCTCACTCTGTTGCCCAGGCTGGAGTGCAGTGGCACGATCTCAGCTCACTACAACCTCCGCCTCTGGGTTCAAGCAATTCTCCTGCCTCAGCCTCCCAAGTAGCTGGGACTACAGGCACATGCCACCACGCCTGACTAGTTTTTGTGTTTTTAGTAGAGATAGGGTCTCATCACGTTGGCCAGGCAGATCTTGAACTCCTGACCTCAAGTGATCGCCCACCTCAGCTTCCCGAAATGCTGGGATTACAGGCGTGAGCCACCACGCCTGGCCCCCAGTTTATTTTCCATCAGCTTTTTAAGTGATATATTTTAGGTCATGAGGTCAGGAGATCGAGACCATCCTGGCTAACACGGTGAAACCCCATCTCTACTAAAAATACAAAAAATTAGCCTGGCGTGGTGGTGGGCACCTGTAGTCCCAGCTACTGGGGAGGCCGAGGCAGGAGAATGGCTTGAACCTGGGAGGTGGAGCTTGCAGTGAGCCGAGATCGCGCCACTGCACTCCAGCCCGGGCAACAGAGCGAAACTCCGTCTCAAAAAAAAAAAAAAAAAAAGTGATATATTTTAGGAACTCATGTCAGGACTCTACAAAGAAAACTATTTTGCTTCTTTGAAAACATGCTGAATTTTAGAATTTTATATCAATAAAACAGTATCTTTTTCAAAAGTATCACTCTTTCACAGAATACTAATTGTAAGCAAAACATTGGGGGTAAGAGTACCACATCAGTTTATTACCAAGTGAATGTCCTACCCCAGCCAATTAGTTAGTTATCTGAGTTAAAAACCTGACCCTGTCACTTTGTAGCTACGTGTTGTAGATCAGCTGTTTAGCCTTTTTGAGCCCCCGTTTCCTCATTTTTAAAATCGGGATGATATCCACACTTAGGCTTGTTGCAAAGCTTTCATGAAGTGATGCATGCAAAGCAGATAGAACCTCTACTTGCGATGTAGCCAGGAGCTAGTAGAGTTATTGTTGCCATTGTGGTTGTCATTTTTATTAAAACAACTCATCTATACTGAGCTTTTCTTGTGATTTTAAAAAAATTGATTCTTTTTGTTTTGAATTATTTAACTTTATTTTTTGAAGCTAACATGCTATCTTTTTCTCTTAATGCTAATATAGAAAATTATTACAATTTACATGTGTATTTTACAAGTTGTTAGGGTATCTTGGAAAAACCAGTCAATAGCAATCATCAGGTAATATAAAAATTCCTCCTGAGTCACTTTAATTTTCAGCTTCTTTTCTGGAAATTAAACTGAGTGCCAATGTGTGGGAATACAGCATAAATGGCACTGAATAGCAGGCAAATGTGTGAATGTACAAGGAGAAAATCATGTCCCAGGCTGGTCTGAGAATGCATCTCTCAGTCCAATATAGTTCTGGGAAATATTAACTGTGATGATGATTTTCTTGTTCTACTATTGAGATTGTCTAACATTCTCCTTCCCTACACTGTCCTCACTTAGTGATGTCAGTAACTTTCTCCTTTTGTACATGTGACCCAGAGCCTTGATCTTTCTCCACAGTATCCAGCTTATTGGTCATTACCAAGTTGATATCCTGCCCAGCCCATTAGGATTTACCTATACCACAACCATCATGGTAGCTCATTGGAGCAAGATCTGTTAGTACATCTATACCTTTTCACCCATGTGCATGGTGGTGAGCTCTGTGCCTGTACACGTGAGATGTTAGAAACAGGTTTTTATTATTTTTGCAAGTGAATTGTCCTTTTAGATACTAGTCTGAGAAATTGCCAGACCATATCCTTAAGCAATATTTTCAAACATGTGCTGTGATCTGTAAGTTTCCTCCCACTTAGAGAAATTCAATAGTAATAGGATTTGTGGTGAAAGTCATAAATCTTTGTCGTATACCAAAACTGATATTAAATGGACATAGAAATGAATTACCATAAAGAAAGATCAAATCTTATGTGCTTCTGTGTTTGGAATTGTCCTAGATTTCGTGAAGTTTTTCTTCCCAGTGGATAAGATCACATTCCTCTCTCTTCCCCCATCTGCTGGTAGTAGGTTAATGATTTATCTAAACGTTAGGATGAGCTCATCAAATTGAAGAAAGTAACGTAGAGGATGTGGAGAATGTATACTTATAAAGGGCATTTATCTGCAATGTCTGTAACAAGGAATTTGAGAGGATTTCCCTGATGTGGCCCCTCAGGCCTCTCACAAAAAGCGTATTGACTGGCTAGATTCCTTGCTAGAGGAAGCCTCCCACAGGCTGCAGTGCCTGGCATGAATGCTTGTTTTAGCCGCCACTAAGACACCTTGCCTTGTCTCTTGGCTCACTAGACCCAGTTCAAAATGTGGTTCAGGTCCTGGAGAAACAATACCTAGAAGAAAAGAGAAGTGCCCTAGAGGAGCAGCGGCTCATGTATGAGCGGGAACTGGAGCAACTCCGCCAGCAGCTCTCCCCCGACAGGCAGCCACAGAGTAGCGGCCCTGACCGCCTGGCCTACAGCAGCCAGACAGCGCAGCAGAAGGTGACCCAGTGGGCAGAAGAGAGGTAAGAACTGCAGCGGGGGCAGCCCAGAGTCAAGGCCCCAAGGCCGTGGGTCTTTGAGGGAGGGGTTTTTGAGACATGTCAGGGACAAACCTAGCAACAAGAGAACTCTTAATCCCATACGTGATATTGCCAATTAGCTTTTCCTTTCACAAATATTGTCCACCCTAAGTATGTTTACTATAATGTTAGCTGTTAAAGACCCCTCCTACCCCCAAACCATTTACCCTTCAATAAAAATGGTGCCAAGTTGCAAGGGTTAGACAGGTATGTATTGAAATTTAGAAAGTTTGAATAATTTCTTTAACACAAAAGCATTTTTTTCTTATTTCTCATACTTTTGAATCTATTTAAATACAACTTCAGTGCTGATTAATCTACTAAATGTGAAAGTTTAAGATTTATAGCTGGGTGCAGTGGCTCACACCTGTAATCCTAGCACTTGGGGAGGCTGAGGCGGGAGGATCACTTAAGCCCAGGAGTTTGAATCCAGCCCAGGCAACATAGTGAGACCTTGTCTCTACAAAAAGTAAAAATTACCCAGGCGTGGTGGTGCATGCCTATAAGGTCACTGGGAGGATCGCTTGAGCCCAGGAGTTTAAGACCAGCCTGAGCAACATAACGAGACCTTGTCTCTACAAAAAATAAAAAATTAGCCAGGCATGGTAGCTGGTGCCTATAATCCCAGCTACTTGGGAGGCTTAGGAGGGAGGGTCACTTGAGCCCCAGAGATCAAGGCTTTAGTGAGCTGCGATCATGCCACCACACTCCAGCCTGGGTGACAGGAAGAACCTGACCTGACTCAGGCCAGGTGCGGTGGCTCAGGCCTGTAATCCCAGCACTTTGGGAGGCCAAGGCAGCGGATCGCCTGAGGTCAGGAGTTCCAGACCAGCCTGGCCAACATGGTGAAACCCTGTCTCTACTAAAAATACAGAAAAAAAAGAAAAAATAGCAGCGCATGGTGGCAGGCGCCTGTAATCCCAGCTACTTGGGAGGCTGAGGCAGGAGAATCGCTTGAACCCAGGAGGCAATGGTTACAGTAAGCCAAGATCGCGCCATTGCACTCCAGCCTGGGTGACAAGAGGGAGACTTTGTCTCAAAAAAAAAAAAAAAAAGAACCTGACTAAAAGAAAAGATTTATGACTTTAAAATACTTATATCAGAACTCTCAAAGGAGAAAGTGGTAGAGTGTGGGTGGCAAGCCACCCAGGTGCCAAGGCAAGAGACCAAGGGCACAAGCTGTTCCAGTATAATAAAGCTAATATATAGAATAAGAATAGTTATACTAGAAATAGATTATAGATATGATTATATATGAATATCATTAATCATTAGTTTGTAGCATTACTCTTTATTCCAATATTATAATAATCTTTGTTCTACAGTTATCACCTGGGAAAAACCAGCCATACAGAGATAGGAGCTGAAGGGACACAGTGAGAAGTGACCAGAAGACAAGTGTAAGCCCTCTGTTACTCCCAAACAGGGCCACTAGAGGGCTCCCTGGTCTAGTGGTAAGGCCAGTGCCTGAGAAGGCGCCCATTACCTAGCGGGCCTTGGTCTAGCAGTAGCGTCAGTGCCTGGGGAAGGCACTAGTTACTTAGCAGACTGGGAAAGGGAGTCTCCCTTTTCCCGGGGGAGTTAGAGAAGACTCTGCTCCACCACCTCTTGTGGAAGGCCTGACATGAGTCAGGCCCGCCCGCAGCCATCCAGAGGCCTGTCTCCCTGTGATGCTGTGCTTCAGTGGTCACTCTCCTGGTCTGCTTTCATGTTCCACCCTGTACGCCTGGCTCTGCCTTCTCGATAGCAGTAACAGGATTAGCGAAAGTACTTAAAGTCTTTGAAATACATAGAAGAAATAATGGTGTAAGCTGTCCTCTCTCTGTCTCCGCCTTGGCTGCCAAACAGGGAAGGGACCCTTGTCCAGTGGACACATGACTTGCGTGACCTTCCTGTCATTGGTGATGGCTCACACTCTTTCCCCTGCCCCCTTTTCTTGTATCCAATAAATAACAGTGCAGCCAGGCATTCGGGGCCACTACCGGTCTCTGCGTCTAGGTGGTAGTGGTCCCCCGGGCCCAGCTGTCTTTTCTTCTATCTCTTTGTCTTGTGTCTTTATTTCTATGATCTCTCATCTCCACACACGAGGAGAAAAATCCACAGACCCAGTGGGGCTGGACCCTACAGTGGAGGAAATGGTAATAATAATAATCACCACTACCATAATAAGGACAATAGGCTATTGAAGACTTCAGTTGTGTTCTTGCCATAGTCCAGTCTTTTATTTAACATCCCAGCAGCAGTATGCCATAGGAACTATTATCCCTGTCTTATAGGTCAGGCAATCAGTTTAAATATCCTGCCTTAATCAACCATCTAGGAAGTGAAAAAAACAGAGTTTGAACCCAGTTTTCTCTGCAGTCTCCTAATAACACCTGTGTTATAATAATTAATAGTACTAATAAAAGCAACACCTGGCTGGGCGCGGTGGCTCACGCCTGTAATCCCAGCACTTTGGGAGGCCGAGGCGGGTGGATCATGAGGTCAGGAGTTCAAGACCAGCCTGGCCAAGATGGTGAAACCCCGTCTGTACTAAAAATACAAAAATAAGTCAGGTGCGGTCGTGGGCACCTATAATCCCAGCTACTCGGGAGGTTGAGGCAGAAGAATTGCTTGAACCCGGGAGGCAGAGGTTGCAGTGATCTGAGATCACGCCACTGCACTCTAGCCTGGGTGACAGAGCAAGACTGTCTCAAAAAAAAAAAAAAAAAAAGCCGGGCACTGTAGCTCATGCCTGTAATCCCAGCACTTTGGGAGGCCAAGGCGGGCAGATCACGAGGTCAGGAGATCAAGACCATCCTGGCTAACAAGGTGAAACCCCATCTCTACTAAAAATACAAAAATTAGCCGGGCGTGGTGGCGGGCGCCTGTAGTCCCAGCTACTCGGGGGACTGAGGCAGGAGAATGGCGTGAACCTGGGAGGCGGAGCTTGCAGTGAGCTGAGATCATGCCACTGCACTCCAGCCTGGGCAACAGAGCAAGACTCCATCTCAAAAAAAAAAAAAAAAAAAAAAGCAGCACCTTACATCTATAGACCATTTATACCATGTACCAGGTACTAATTGCTGTTCCTGTATTCCTCTAATCCTCACAACTGCTACTGCCTTTACACATAAGGAAACTCAGGCTGAGAGGTTAAATGATTTACCCAGATGGTCAGTTAGCTGGTAAATTGGGCGATGGGATCAGAGCCGTGGCATTCTGACTGTAGAGCTCTTCCTGTAACTCACACACACACTGCAGCTCTCACTAGCAATGAGATGCAGAACACAGGCCACACCCGGGGAAGGTGACTCCCAAGAGGAGAAAAGGGAACCCTGCCCTGCAGCGCAAGGCTCGCAACAGTCACGCACTTGTTAATGTTAAATGAAGAGAAGAGAGTCAATTATATTTTCCCCAGGAGCTACCTGCTCATCTGTCTGGATACTGAAATAGGAAGATTTATCATACTTATATTACTCTTTTTTCTGAGATGGAGTTTCACTCTTCTTGCCCAGGCTAGAGTGCAAGGCTGGAGTGCAATGGCATGATATCCGCTCACTGCAACCTCCATCTCCCAGGTTCAAGCGATTCTCCTACCTCTGCCTCCCAAGTAGCTGGGATTACAAGTGCCCACCACAATACCTGGCTAATTTTTGTATTTTTAGTAGAGATGAGGTTTCACCATGTTGGCCAGGCTGGTCTCGAACCCCTGACCTCAGGTGATCCGCCCGCCTCAGCCTCCCAAAGTGTTGGGATTATAAGCGTGAGCCACTGCACCAGATGTTATGTTACTTTTTATACTTTATTGTACCTGGAAGAAACAGACAAAAGTTATCAGATGGTCCTTTTTCTGAAGAGCTGCCTTTTACACATTTACTATGAGCTGGTGGCTTCACGCCAAGCAACAGCTAGCTGTTGAGGATAACTGATATAATTGTACCCATTGATATCCTTTCTATTTACTAAACAATATAAAAGATAAAAGCAAAAGTGTCTTCAAAAGAAGACATACATGTGGCCAACAAAGCATATTAAGAAGTGTTCATTATCACCAATGACTAGGGAAATGCAAATCAAAACCACAATGAGATACCATCTCACACCAGTCAGAATGGCTATTATTAAAAAGTCAAAAAATAACAGATTCTGGCAAAGTTGCGAAGAAAAGGGAACCCTTATACACTGTTGGTGAGAGTGTAAATTAATTCAATCATTGTGGAAAGCAATGCGGCAATTTTTTAAAGAGCTAAAAACAGAACTATCATTTCACCCAGCCATCTCACTATTGGGTATGTACCCAAAGAAATATAAGTTGTTCTACCATAAAGACACATGCACATGTATATTCATTGCAGTGCTATTCACAATAGGAAAGACATGGAATCAACCTAAATGTCCAACGATAGACTGGATAAAGAAAACGTGGTACATGTACACCATGGAATACTATGCAGCCATGAAAAACAACAAGATCGTGTCCTTTGCAGGAACATGGATGGAACTGGCGGCCATCATTCTTAGAAAACGAATGCAGGAACAGAACACCAGATACCGCGTGTTCTCACTAATAAGTGAGAGCTAAATCATGGGAACCGATGGACAGAAAGGGGAACAACAGACACTGGGGCCTGTGGGAGGAGGAGGGAGAGGCTCAGGAAAAAAAAACAAAAACCTGCCAAGTACTATGCTTACTACCCGGGTAATGAAATAATCCATACATCAAACCCCTTAGTCATGAGTTGACCTGTATAACAAACCTGTGCATGTACCCCTGAACCTAAAATAAGTCAAAATATTTAAATTTTAAAAAACAAAAGTATCTGATAAAGAAGGTGGTTTGCTTTTAACCATAGTGTTTTTCAGTTAAATAGTTAAAAATATTTTTTTGATTTCCCTTAATTCCAGATTGATTTTCTTTGGGGCTTAAATTCTTAAAAGAAAGGAAAAGTGTAGAAGTCGGGTACAGTGGCACATGCCTATAGTCTCAGCTACTCCAGAGGCTGAGGCAGGAGGATCACCTGCGCCCAGGAGTTTCAAGCTGTAGTGCACTGTGATCATGCCTCTGAATAGCCACTGCACTGCAGCCTGGGCAACACAGGGAGACCCTATCTCCAAGAAAAAGAGAGAGAGAGAAGGAAAGAAAGAAAAAGGGAGGGAGAGAAGGAAGGAAGGAAGGAAGAAAAAAAAAGATGAGATATTTTGGGAATGTCATTCAAAGACAAGAATAGTTGCATTATTGATTTTGTCAGGTTTCACTGGATAAAAGTAAGATGTCATTAATTGTATGTGGTTATATAAGAAGCTGGAACTCTTACCTAAGTAAATTGTTGATGGGTTGTGAAATAATGAAGGACTCTTACCTACATGAATGTTGATGGGTTGAGAATCAAGTAAATTTAAACGCTGGTGAGAATTACAAAGAAAGCCACAGATGTCGTTTATTCTCTTTGTACACTTAGAATGTAGTATGAAACAAGATATAAATTTGTGGAAAAATTAAGTCATAGAAAATTAAAGAACAGTTTCATTCAACAATAGGAAACGTTAGGATTATATATTAATAGTTATTTGTTTGTTTTCTATTTCCTACCCTGGAAAATGAGTTGCAAGGGACAGGGAATCCTTTGAAGTATCCCTAGTGCCTAGAATGATGTGGTCACCTGGTAGGTATTTAGTAAATATTGTATGCATTGATTGTGTGAATGTATTGAAGTGAAAAGCATGTAATCGCTAAGTGGACAGACTGCACAGTAAGCTTGTTGGTTGTTCAGTGGAAGATGAGACTTAATGAAGCTGAGTCTTCTACAGAGGTTTTCAGGGAGAAGGATTGATTTCAAGTGCATTTGAGAGGTAGAGTTTGACCAGCAGAGAGAAAGTAAGAAGGACATTTTGGGTGGGCAGATTGGCATGAACAGATGAGAAGCAATGGAAGAGAATTAAGATGTATTTGGGAGACTGCAAAAGAACTGTTTCGTGTAGTCTAGAACAGGGGTCCCCAATCCCCAGACCACAAACTGGTACGGGTCCGTGGCCTGTTAGGAACCAGGCTGCACAGCAGGAGGTGAATAGTGGGCCAGCAAGCGAAGCTTCATCTGTGTCTACAGCTGCTCCCCATCACTTGCATTACTGCCTGAGCTCCACCTCCTGTCAGATCAGCAGTGGCATTAGATTCTCACAGGAGCACAAACCCTATTATGAACTGTACATGCGAGAGATCTAGGTTGCATGTTCCTTATAAGAGTCTGAAGCCTGATGATCTATCACTGTCTACCAACACCCCCAGATGGAACTGTCTAATTGTAGGAAAACAAGCTCAGGGCTCCCACTGATTCTACATTATGGTGAGCTGTATCATTATTTCATTGTCTATTACAATATAATAATAGAAATAAAGTGCACAATAAATGTAATGCACTTGAGTCATCCCAAAACTCTCCCTTTCCCCAACCTCGGTCCATGGAAAAGTTGTCTTCCATGTAACTAGTCCCTGGTGCCAAAAAGGTTGGGGACCACTGGTGTAGAAGGTGATTTATGGAAGAGTAGGGAAAATTAAGTTCAAAAACCATTAGGCAGGGGTTGTGGGAGGGTACAGATTTGGAGTTTGGGATTTATTTTATGGGAGAAGAGGAGCCCTGCAAGGCCTTGAGCCGAGGAACGGCCTGAGGAAGGCAGGGCTTGATAAGGACTGTCTTGCAGTGGAGCAAGAAGAGCCTGGGTACTGTGAGATTATTGAGAAGGGTGTAAGGGCCCTGAGCCAGGGATATGATAAAACACAGAGAGACTTAGGAGATGCTTCAAAGGAAGAATCAATAGGCTTATTTTTTGGACATTGTAGAAAAGAGAAGAGACTGAGCCGACTGAACAAATCTAAGCGTGGGTGACTGGAAAAATGGTATCACCTTTTTTGTTTTTTTTTAATAGAGATGAGGTCTTGCTATGTTGCCCAGGCTGGTCTTGAACTCCTGGCCTCAAGTGATCCTCCCACCTCGGCTTCCCAAAGTGTTGGGATTATAGCCATGAGCCACTGCCCCCAGCTGGTAATATGGTTTTAAGAAACTGTTTTGTTTACCTTAGCATCCGCACAGCATGCGTCTTCTGTCATTTCTAAGGTGACGAGTGAGGAGTAGAGATTTAGGTGCTTTGAGTTCATTATTTTTCTATGATGTAAGCATTTCCTGCGGCGTATAAATGGTGGAAAAGAGAAGTTATATATGACACAGAGCAATTGCTAGATGGAGTGACTTTAGAACCCAGATTCAAATGTGAAATCCAGAAGCACTCTTTTCTTTATTCAGTGGGTCTTTTTTGAATATCCTACGATGGGTCATGCACTTGGCCAGGAGCTAGGGTAGTGCAAGCAAAAAAAGACATGGTCCCTGCCTTGGGGCAACCTAACAGCCTAGTAGGAGACAGATATTAAACAAATAATTATACGAGTAAAAATGAAAAGTTCTAACTATGGCAAATGCTATGGAGGCTAAAGGCATGGGGCTGAGAGAACATATAAGAGGGTTTTGACCAATCTGGGATATTAGAGAAGCTTTTTATCAGCAAGTAATGTTGTACAGAGAGTTGAAACGAAGAATTCCTGCTACTGCAGAACTACCTTACCATTGCATGCCTTTTGCCAACTGCAGAAGTCATGAAAAATAATTTCTTCTCCTAACTCCAGGTTTCTCTCATCTGCCAACCCCTCCCTGCCCCACCACCCTCCCTCAGCACACACAAGTCGTAATCATCGTTTGTTTTTCCCAAAGATTCCTGTACTGGTTTTTTGCATCCTCCTATCACAATCTGATCGTTTTCACGTGTTACATAATTTAAAACGTGGTTTTCAGTTAAGTTGCTCAACAATTTGCTTCCCATCAGTAGTTCTCAACAGATAGCCCATCTGTGGGCAGGAGGGAAGGATGAGAGGTAGTCTGGTAAAATAGTTTGAAAAATACTGCCCGAGAGGAGTTTTCTCCCATTTTCTAATAAGATGCTCACTTAGAAACGGGATTGCAGTTTTCCTTTAGATTTTCTCGTTCCCTTTTCTATGACACTGCAGGGATGAACTCTTCCGACAAAGCCTGGCAAAACTGCGAGAGCAGCTGGTTAAAGCTAATACCTTGGTGAGGGAAGCAAACTTCCTGGCTGAGGAAATGAGCAAACTCACCGATTACCAAGTGACTCTTCAGATCCCTGCTGCAAACCTCAGTGCCAATAGGAAGGTAAGAATGTCCTTCAAGTGAGAGGGCAAGATGCACAATAGTAAATATTGTAAAATAGGATCTAAAACTGAAACCCCAGAAACATGCCTGAGGAGATCCTGATATCAGCCAGAGATGTTTATTTTTTTCAAGACATTCTTTATATACCTCATTGGATAAGAATGCTATTTAAATGATGTTCTTAGATATGTAATAAGCAGAATACACAAAATTTTAGTGGCTGAAGGACTTCCTAATTTATATGCCTTCTTTAAAACAATAAAACTGGAAACATGTATTTTGCCTGCTTTTTTTTGCATGTAAATGCCCCTTTCTGAAATGGGGGAATACATGTAGGCTGTAGTACCTGAGGGTTTTGTTTGTTTGTTTGTTTGTTTGTTTTTAGACTGAGTCTTGCTCTGTCACCCAGGCTGGAGTGCAATGGCATGATCTCAGCTCACTGCAATCTCCGCCTCCTGGGTTCAAGCAATTCTCCTACCTCAACCTCCCGAGTAGCTGGGATTACAGGCGCGCACTAGCACACCCGGCCAATTTTTGTGTTTTTAGTAGAGACAGGGTTTTGCCATATTGGCCAGGCTAGTCTTGAACTCCTGGGTTCAGATGTTCTGCACGCTCAGTCTCCCAGAGTGCTAGGATTACAGGCGTGAGCCACTGTGCCCAGCCTGCTATGGTACCTTTTTAAGAGTGAATTCTACAAGAAAGGAAGACTTTTCATGATACCTGACTTCAAATACACGGCTCTCTTTGCAAGCGTCTGGGAGTTTCCTGTCATTTCACCTTGAAGAATTTTTCCTGTAGGGAGAAACTTTGAAGAAAATTGTTTTTCATTTTTGTTGCTGTTGTTGTTTATCAGGGGAACCCGCCCACAATATTTCATTGTAGGTTCTTTCTATTTTCCATAAGTGTCAGCCAGCTGAGAAATAAAGAGAAAGAGTACAAAGAGAGGAATTTTACAGCTGGGCCGCCGGGGGTGACATCACATATCGGTAGGACCATGATGTCCACCTGAGCCTCAAAACCAGCAAGTTTTTATTGAGGGTTTCAAAAGGGGAGGAGGTGTAAGAACAGGGAGTAGGTACAAAGATCACATGCTTCAAAGGACAAAAAGCAGAACTACTAATACCAGTCTAGCAAAGATCACATGCTTCTGAGGGAACAGGACAGAGGCAAAAGGAGAACCACTGATAAGGGTCTATGTTCAGTGGTGCACATATTGTCTTGATAAACATCTTAAATAACAGAAAACAGGGTTCGAGAGCAGAGAACCGGTCTGACCACAAACTTACCAGGGTGGAGTTTTTCCCCACCCTAGTAAGCTTGAGGGTACTGCAGGAGACCAGGGCGTATCTCAGTGCTTATCTCAACCAGGTAAGACATTCCCAGAGCGGCCGTTTATAGACCTCCCCCCACAATGCATTCCTTTCCCAGGGTATTAATATTAATATTTCTTGCTAGGACAAGAATTTAGCAATATATCTCCTACTTGCATGTCTGTTTATAGGCTCTCTGCAAGAAGAAAAATATGGCTCTTTTTGTCCAACCCTGCAGGCAGTCAGACCTTATGGTTGTCTTCCCTTGTTCCCTAAAAATCACTGTTATTCTGTTATTTTTCAAGGTGCACTGATTTCATATTGTTCAAACACACATTTTATAATCAATTTGTATAGTTAACACAGTTATCACAGTGGTCCTGAGATGACGTACATCTTCAGCTTACAAAGATAATAGGATTAAGAGATAAAAGTAAAGACAGGCATAAGAAATTATAAAAGTATTATTTGGGAACTGATAAACGTCCATGAAATCTTCACAATTCATCTTCCTCTGCTACGGTTCCAGCCGGTCCCTCCGTTTGGGGTCCCTGACTTCCTGCAACAGTTGTTGTTTTTTGAGACAGAGTTTCGCTCTTTGCCCAGGCTGGAGTGCAATGACATGATCTTGGCTCACTACAACCTCCGCCTCCCGGGTTCAAGTGATTCTCTTGCCTCAGCCTCCCAAGTGGCTGGGATTACAGGCATGCGCCACCACACCAAGCTAATTTTGTATTTTTAGTAGAGGCAGGGTTTCACCATGTTAGTGAGGCTGGTCTCGAACTCCTGACCTCAGGTGATCCACCCACCTTGGCCTCCCAAAGTGCTGGGATTACAGGCATGAGCCACCGTGCCCAGCCAGAAAATTGTTTTTCTATGACTCAGAAAAAAAGAAAAACTAAATTTAAAAAAAGTAAGAAAATTGTTTTTCATCCATTCACTTTTTCTTCCAGCAAGCAAGCTAGAAAATGAGTCAGGGAGTATCTTATCAGTCTTACTGGGTTTTAGTCTTTTGACCTAGTAGTTCCCCTTTGGGAAATTTATTCTAAGCCCATAGTCATAGAAGTGTCCATAGAGATTTATACACAAGGATGCTTATAGTGGACTTTATAATAGCAAAACCTTGAAACAGACATGATGTCAAACAATAGAATAATTACTCAAATGTATAGTACATCCAAATGCTAAGGACACTGCTGTGTTGCCATTAAAAAATCATGGTTATGGCTGGGCCTGGTGGCTCACGCCTGTAATCCTAGCACTTTGGCAGGCCAAGGTGGGCAGATCGCTTGAGTACAGGAGTTCGAGACCAGCCCGGGCAACATAACAAAACCCCATCTATACAAAAAAATACAAAAAATAAAATAAAAAATAGTCAGTCATGGTGTCATGTGCCTATAGTCCCAGCTACTTGGGAGGCTGAGGTGGGAGGATTCCTGGAGCCCAGGAGGTCAAGGCTGCAGTGCACTAAGATCATACCACTTCACTGCAGCTTGGATGATAGAGCAAGATCCTATCTCAAAAAAAAAAAAAAATCGTGCTTATGAAGAATATTTAACAATACAAGAAAAATGATCACAATATCAAAACTGGAGAGAGGATTGGGGTATGAAGTTATACTTTTGTTTGGTCTTGATCGTGATAAAAATTAAAAAGTGTGCATGAGTGTACATAGAAGGTAGAAAATAAACCAGACTATCCTCGTAGGTGGTAGAATTTTATCTTCTTTTGTATGCATTTATGTGTTTTGCAAACTTACTGTGTTACTGTTGTATATATATTGCTTTAGCAATCGAAAAAGGAGTTATAACAGGGTTTGTTTTGTTTTTCTTCCTTATGCAGAGAGGTGCAATAGTGAGTGAACCAGCTATCCAAGTGAGGAGGAAAGGAAAGAGCACCCAAGTGTGGACCATTGAGAAGCTGGAGAATAAATTAATTGACATGAGAGACCTTTACCAAGAATGGAAGGAAAAAGTTCCTGAGGTAAAAGAGACAAAATGTAATGGAGATTTTGTTATGTTAAAAACAGAGAATATAAGCGATTTAGCAACACACACACACACACACACACACACACACACACACACGGAGATGTGCTCATGATACGTTAGATATTATATTAGGAAAATAAAGTACAAGTGATTTTGAAAGAAGCGCTAAGTTGGATCAGTAATACAACACATGATCCCCACACAGTTGGGAACTAAATGAAGAAAACATATAGTAGATTCTTATTTGGCTTCATGTTTACTACATTTCAAGTGAAAAGAAGTAGAATGAAGTAAATTTATGCCATTTTATCGGTGCTGTGAAAAATCAGCTTGACTGGAGCCAGTGTGGATTTCGCATTCATTAATGTGTGTTCACGCACCCCTAGCTGTGATCGTGGCCAGGTAGATTACTAAGAGTAATTTAAGCTTGCATAATCCATTTTTTGGACATTAGCAGTGGAAAAGAAGACTTGGCAAAGGAGATGAGGCAAAACAAAGGGGATGAAATGAAAAAGCTGCAAGTGAGGTAGATAAGGAAGACAAGGCAGGAACTGAAGAGGAATCTTCTGCACAGGCATTAGTTAGCTCCCCAGCAAACAGGCCCCTCCCATGGGCTAATTCTTTTTTTTTTTTTTTTTTTTTTTTTTTTTTTTTTAATGGAGACAGAGTCTCGCTCTGTCACTCAGGCTGGAGTGGTGTAATCTCAGCTCACTGAAACCTCTGTCTCCTGGGTTCAAGCGATTCTCGTGCCCCAGCCTCCTGAGTAGGTGGGACCACAGGCGTGCGCCACCACGCCCAGCTAATTTAGTTTTTATTTATGTGACATTATAATTTTACTTGCTGTTTAAATGGATAGATTCTTTAAATTTTTTTTCAAATGCTAGTTTTAAATAATATTATTTAAATTGATGTTATGTTTCTTATTCGTCCACTCACTGGCCCCTCCTACTTCTCAGGCAAAGAGACTCTACGGAAAACGAGGTGACCCTTTCTATGAAGCCCAAGAAAATCACAACCTCATCGGGGTGGCGAATGTATTCTTGGAATGCCTCTTCTGTGATGTGAAACTTCAGTATGCAGTCCCTATCATCAGCCAGCAGGGGGAGGTAAGCACAGGCCAGCCTTGGAGAACGATGGTGGTTCAAGTTTTTTGTTTTGTTTTATTTTGTTTTTCATTCTATTTAAGCTATGTTCTTGAGGTGGATCAAGAAACTAAGGCAAATAGTCAAGGTCTGCATTCTTTTTTCTCTACTAATAATCGATATTAGAAGCTTTGAGGATTAAGTCATGGTTTTGTTTGTTTGTTTGTTTGTTTGAGACGGAGTCTCACTCTGTCGCCCAGGCTGGAGTGCAGTGGCGCGATCTCGGCTCACTGCAAGCTCCGCCTTCCGGGTTCACGCCATTCTCTTGCCTCAGCCTCCCGAGTAGCTGGGACTACAGGCGCCCACCACCATATCGGGCTAATTTTTTGTATTTTTAGTGGAGACGGGGTTTCACCGTGTTAGCCAGGATGGTCTTGATCTCCTGACCTTGTGATCCGCCCGCCTCGGCTTCCCAAAGTGCTGGGATTACAGGCGTGAGCCACGGTGCCTGGCCCAAGTCATGGTCTTAAAAGATTATTATAACATTTAATATTTGGAGGTCACAAGTTTTTTCTTTGTTTTAATCAAATGGGAAATATTTTGGAAACCATATTCAGCTCTGTGCCCCATATCGCTCTCTCTTTTTAAAGGTAATCTCATACCTTTGCGATATACTCTAGTTCCTTCCTGGCCCCTAAATGGTCTTTGTAAGATACAACTCAGGAGGATTATTTTGCAGTCCAAAGTACTCAAAACAAAACAGGCTTCAATGACTCATTGTTACCCTCCTTTTAAACTCTGGTATTTCAGCTATTTAGATATAGTGGCCTAGGTAGGCATAAGATATTTCAGAAAATGTACGTTGAACTACCAGGTTATTTCTTGTGATTCTTAGAGCAGGTGAAGAATAAGATGCCATTCTGCCCAAAGTGAAGCTGCGATATAGACCCGGGTTCCCAGTTGTGGGGTGTAAGTGCACAGCCCACCCTCCACTATGGAAACACCCCATGGACATTCTGCTCCAGAGGACCAGTGCCTAACAGAGCTTTTTCCCATGGGAAAAATGGGCACAGTTAGGAGTCTGAAACCAGCCTGGTCAACACTATGAGACCCCATGTCTAAAAAAGAAATTTAAAAATTGACCAGGCATGGGCAGAGTGCAGTGGCTCACGCCTGTAATCCCTGCACTTTGGGAGGCAGAGGCAGGTGGATCACAAGGTCAGGAGTTCAAGACCAGCCTGGCCAATATGGTGAAACCCCGTCTCTACTAAAAATACAAAAAAATTAGCCAGGCTTAGTGGCGGGCACCTGTAGTCCCAGCTACTCGGGAGGCTGAGGCAGGAGAATCGCTTGAACCCGGGAGGTGGAGGTTGCAGTGAGCCAAGATCACACCACTACATTCCAACCTGGGTGACAGAGCAAGATTCTGTCTCAAAACAAAACAAAAAAAAACAAAAAAAACACAAAAAAATTAACCAGGCATGGTGATGAGCACCTATAGTCCCACCAGCTACTCAGGAGGCTGAGGTGGGAGGATCACCAAAGCCCAGGTAGGTCTAAGCAGCAGTGAGCCATGATCATACCAATGCACCCCAGCCTGGACAACAGAGCAAGACCCTGTCTCAAAAAGAAAAAGCACAGTTAACATGGCAGAGTGATTCAGTGGCTGAGTCCCTAGTTCAGGACTTCTTAATTTGGAGTCTGTGGTATGCTTTGAGTATTCCATGAATCCCCCTGAAATTATATTAAAATGAATTAGATTATCGAAAAGCATTAAAAAGAAAAAAAAAAGCTTGGCCGGGTGTGGTGGCTCACGCCTGTAATCCCAGCACTTTGGGAGGCCGAGGCAGGCAGATCACCTGAGGTCCGGTGTTCGAGACCAGCCTGACCAACATGGAGAAACCCCATCTCTACTAAAAATACAAAATTAGCCGGCGTGGTGGCGCATGCCTGTAATCCCAGCTACTCCGGAGGCTGAGGCAGGAGAATGGCTTGAACCCGGGAGGCGGAGGTTGCTGTGAGCCGAGATCGCGCCATTGCACTCCAGCCTGGGCAACAAGAGCGAAACTCCGTCTCAAAAAAAAAAAAAAAGCTTAAGAACAACTATCTTCTGATTTCTTTTATTTCCTTTCTTCCCCCATCTTACTACTTCCTCCATATTTGTCTTACTTCTCAGATATCATCGAGTAATTTCTTGTAGGTCCTTGGTGCCAGTACCAATTGCTGTGTGGAAATTGGATCTGATCTACCTTTAAAAATAACCTTCCCTGTTTAGGATGATAGCAGTACTACCAGAACATGTGTCACCTTGTACACATGTGTAATGACAGCCACAGTCATTACAACCTGAAACTATGTTATGAAATATAATTAAGACAAAGCACTCCAAGAATGCAAATTTTAGAATAATCCTTTTCCTCTAATTTGATTCTGTGCAGCCAGCTTTAAGAAAAACACGGTTAAACTGGCTCCTATCCAGAGAGCCACCATGATAGAAAATTTAAAACCTTTTAATGAAAAAGTTTTAAAGTAACATTCCTCATATCTGTGTGGCTTTCAATATGCTGTTCCTCCTGGATTAGATCTAATGGCACTGCTTTATGGAGCCCTCCTTCATCCTGCTCCCAGCCCCAGTCTGAGTTACACACCCATTCTCTACTCTCAAGAGAATAAAAGCTGCGCGAGCCCGGGAACCTTGTCAATTTGGTTTGCTATTGGATGCTCATAGCACAGTTCCTGGCACAGTTAGTTCTTGGTAAATATGTGTTAGTGGATAAGTTTATCCCATAACAACTCGCACATATATCTATTATAGCAACTATTCTATGCTGTTATTAGTGAGTTTTGTTGCTGTTGTTGTTGTTGTTTTTGTTGTTGTTGTTTGAGACCGAGTCTCACTCTGTTGCCCAGGTTAGAGCACAGTGGTGCGATCTCGGCTCACTGCAACCTCCGCCTCGCGGGTTCAAGCAGTCCTGCCACAGCCTCCCGAGTAGCTGGGACTACAGGTATGACCCACCATGCCTGGCTAATTTTTTTTTTAATTATTTGTATTTTTAGTAGAGACAGGGTTTCATCATGTTGGCCAGGCTGCTCTTGAACTCCTAACCTCAGGTGATCCACCCGCCTCGGCCTCCCAAAGTGCTGTGATTATAGGCTTGAGCCACCACGCCTGGCCTGTTAGTGAGTTACTTCTCTGTCTTGCCTCCCTTTACTGTGAGTTGCCTGATGGCAGAACCTGTGTTTTTATTTTGGTATTTCATGAGCTAGCTGTTTGGTCAAATGAATAAGTGAATGAAGCATTTCATATTCACTCACATGAATAGGTGAGTGAATATATTTTAAAAAACATGGATAGCCAGGCATGTTGGCTCACACCTATAATCCCAGCACTTTGGGAGGCCGAGGCAGGCAGATCACAAGGTCAGGAGTTCGAGACCAGCCTGGCCAAGATGGTGAAAGCCCGTCTTTACTAAAAATACAAAAATTGGCCGGACACGGTGGCTTATGATTGTAATCCCAGCACTTTGGGAGGCCGAGGCGGGTGGATCATGAGGTCAGGAGTCCGAGACCAGCCTGGCCAACACAGTGAAACCCCGTCTCTACTAAAAATACAAAAATTAGCTAGGCATGGTGGCAGGCACCTGTAATCCCAGCTACTTGGGAAGCTGAGGCAGAAGAACCGCTTGAACCCAGGAGGTGGAGGTTGCAGTGAGCCGAGATCACGCCACTGCACTCCAGCCTGGGCAACAGAGCTAGACATTGTCTCAAAAAAAAAAAAAAATTAGCTGGGCGTGGTAGCACGCACCTGTAATCCCAACTACTCAGAAGGCTGAGGCAGGAGAATCGCTTGAACTCAGGAGGCAGAGGTTATAGCAAGCTGAGATCATGCCACTGCACTCCAGCCTGGATGACAGAGCAAGACTCCATCTTGGAAAAACAAAACAAAACATGGATACTAGATGACTCCAAGTAAAATGTGAGAGCTACCTTTAAGCTATTCCTGGGCTGTCCTTTGGAAGGATACATTTGAGGATGACTCCAGAAGGCAAGTTGCAGGGAGGCAAATTTGGCTCACACTAAGGCAGGATGATCACAGGGGCAAGTGGTGGAATGGACTGCTCTGGTAGTAGCAGGGCTCCCGTTGCCGAAGACGACCAAGCAGCAGCTGCAGAGCCCCTCTCCAGGTTCACTGTAGAAGGCACGTCTGTCTTGGGTCGAGGTTGCCCACAGGATGTCTGTTCACTCTAAGGTGCTCTGGTTCCTTGACCCAGGTTGCAGGGCGTCTCCACGTGGAAGTGATGCGTGTTACAGGAGCTGTTCCAGAGCGTGTGGTGGAGGATGACTCTTCGGAGAATTCCAGTGAAAGTGGGAGCCTTGAAGTCGTAGACAGCAGCGGGGAAATCATTCACCGAGTCAAAAAGCTGACATGTCGGGTGAGAGGACAGTGATGGGAGGCTCATATAAATGACCTTTTTCATGCAAAACCATTTTACAAAAAATCTTATGAGAGTTTTTCATCCAGGGTAGTAAAAGTTGGATTTTGTAACAGCAGATACAGTGGTGGACAGTACTTTGTTTTCAGAAATATAGCACACTTTCTTATGACAGTTGCATCAAATTTCAAAAGTGTTTATGTATTTGACATGCAAGAAGTGTATGTTGCTTAGTGAATTATGTTTTTCTATTAAAGGTTGCATCTCAGTCATTAGGAAGCTTTTGCAGGAATGTGTGTATTTGTTGCCAAGTTTATATACTATAGTTACAGAACTGTGGTACAGATTTCATTATCGATACAACCCTTAGTGTCACGGTGTCAGATATAATATTTTCACATGTCAAATGGATGACCAATTTGTTTCATCGCTTACTCTTAAATTTGAGGTAGCTGAAATGAAAGAATGTTTAGTGTTCATTGGAGTTTTATTTGTATTGTTTATCTCTTCAGGTAAAAATTAAAGAAGCAACGGGGCTGCCCTTAAACCTCTCAAATTTTGTCTTCTGTCAATACACATTCTGGGACCAGTGTGAGTCTACGGTGGCTGCCCCGGTGGTGGACCCCGAGGTGCCTTCACCACAGTCCAAGGATGCCCAGTACACAGTGACCTTCTCCCACTGTAAGGTACAAATGCCATTACCAAATGAGCTGTGTAGGAAGCAGCAGAAATTGGTGCAGTTCAACAATCAGTTGTCCCCACAAGCATTTGTTTTAAGTATAATATGTTTATTAGATGTTTTAACCTCAAAAATGTACCTCATTACAAATGCAAATAGTTTAGAAATATTTAAAATAAAATCTAAAAGATCTCTACCAACAGTCTTGTTCCCCAAAGATATAAACCACCAGTGACAGGTTGCTACATATTTCATTAAACTACTTTCTATGCTCTGCATCTTTTATATGTGTGTCATAACATATGTACATACACCCTTTTACATCATGCACACATAAGTTCTTTAAAAATGCTATGCAAAAGTGGGATCATATTATACATATTTCAGAATTTGCGCATCTTAACATGTAAGTTGCTATACATCTGATTCTTATGAATATAGCATTACATTCTAATGTATCATATGAGTGATATGTTTCATATAGAGTTTCTCATAAGTCATATGAGAAAATATAAAAAAAGGAAAGGTGAATTTGTGGTGAATGTGGTTGGATCTCCTTTGAGACATCATATACTCTTCCTGGCTTTCACAAGGACTGCTGACAAGTCATTTCTAAAAGACCAGCTCCATCCTCTCTATAGTTTTGTTTTTCCTTAGACTTCCCTTCATAGATACACAAGATCCCTTCTTTTGCAAATCATGCTTATTCTTTCTGGTTCTACACTTAGAAAACGAATCCATATCACCACCTATAAAATTTCACATAGGTAAGGGCTGTCAAGTTTTTCTTTTTCTGAAAACAAATAGCATACATTTATCTGTATTCAACAAGTCTGTTCCTCAAAATCTTTATTAATCATTTTTTATTGTTGTTCTCTGAATATTATTTTAAATATTCCCCATCTTTCTTTGAATCCACAAAGCTGCTTGTTTAGAAAGATGAAATCTGAATTTTAACTGTGTCCTGGTTAACAGCTGTTTTAATAAATGCTAGTCCCAGAGCTTCTGGGTTCTTATGATCTTGGAGTTTTTTGGATCTCTTGTGATCTTGGAGTTTTTTCATCTTGGAGTTTTTTCATCGCTAAAATGTATAGATTGTCATGAAGTTTCTTTTTCTTCTTAAATTCTGGGTCTATCTTCAAATAAAATAGACTAAAAAGCAGATACTATATGGTTAAATAAATATAGCACAACTGTTTCTGCAAATTAGAGTCACAAGCAATGTCTTCACCTGAGATTCCACCTAAAGACTAATGGAAAGAAAATTAGCTTGGCTCGTTGCCTACTTCGTTTTTCTGGGTGATTTGCCACCCATCTCAGTCAGTTCAGTATTCATTTCCTCACAATCATCTGTTTGGGTTTGTTTTTATTTTTAAAGACGATGTCTCACTCTGTTGCCCAGGCTGGAATGCAGTGGCACAATCACGGCTCACTGCAGCCTCGAACTCCTGGGTTCAAGTAATCCTCCTGCCTCAGCCTCCTGAGTAGCTGGGACTACAGGTGTGCACCACCACACCCGGCTAGTTTTTACTTTGTAGAGACAGGATCTCATTTTGTTGCCCAAGCTGGTCACTATCTCCTGGTCACTTTGTCCAGCTATCCTCCTGCCTTGGCCTCCCGAAGTGCTGGCATTACAGACGTGAGTCACCTTGCCCTGTCTGTTTGTGTTTTGGAAAGAGGAAATAGGGTAGGAAAGCTTAAGAGCAAGAGCATAAAGTCATGAAGATAACCATATAAAATTTAATTCTGTTATTATTCTCCTAAGCCATGGCAAGGAACAGTTCATTGAGTTAGTCTATGCCAGCTGAAAATCAGAGTGGTCCTGTGGAACTGAGAATGAACCAAGTGTAAGACGATGTAGATTCAGCTTTGCAACTAACAAACCGTATGACTTTGGACAATTTGCTTTCTTCATTTTCTTTATTGATATAAGAAACGGGTTGAGGCCGGGCATGGTGGCTCACACCTGTAATCCCAGCACTGTGGGAGGCCGAGGCAGGTGGATCACGAGGTCAGGAGATCGAGACCATCGTAGCTAACACGGTGAAACCCCGTCTCTACTAAAAATACAAAAAAATAGCCGGGCGTGGTGGCGAGTGCCTGTAGTCCCAGCTACTCGGGAGGCTGAGGCAGGAGAATGGCGTGAACCTGAGAGGTGGAGCTTGTAGTGAGCGGAGATCGCACCACTGCACTCCAGCCTGGGCGACAGAGCAAGACTCTGTCTCAAGAAAAAAAAAAAGAAAGAAACGGGTTGAGTTAAATTACCTCCCAATTTTCTTTCCAGATCTAACATTCTGTGGTTCTTTATGGTTTTCTATAAAACAGAAGAGACGGATTTAAGGTCACGATCAGGCTAATATACTCTAAAATAAATATAACAGTTGAAAGGTCAAAAGGAAATTTCACAGACTCCTTTAAGCATAATTCTTTTGCTTTCCCCCACTTATCCCAGGACTATGTGGTGAATGTAACAGAAGAATTTCTGGAGTTCATTTCAGATGGAGCACTGGCCATTGAAGTATGGGGCCACCGGTGTGCTGGAAATGGCAGCTCCATCTGGGAGGTCGATTCTCTTCATGCTAAGACAAGAACACTGCATGACAGGTTTGTACTTGGCTGTGAGCTTTAGGTACAAGGTTAAGACTAGGACTTGAGCAGAGTCTCTGAACCTACTCTGGCCTAGGAGGCTGCTTATAAAAAAATAAAATCATTTAAAAAAAAAAAAAAAAGAATGGCCAGGTGCGGTGGCTCATGCCTGTAATCCAGCACTTTGGGAGGCCAAGGCAGACGGATCATGAGGTCAGGAGTTCGAGACCAGCCTGACCAACATGGTGAAACCACATCTCTACTAAATACAAAAATTACCCAGGTGTGGTGGCACGCACCTGTAATCCCAGCTACTCAGGAGGCTGAGGCAGGATTTATTTATTTTTTTTTTATTTATAAAAAAATAAATTATTTATAAATAAATAAAACCCGGGAGCTGGAGGTTTCAGTGAGCCAAGATCGTGCCACTGCACTCCAGCCTGGGCAACAGAGTGAGACTCCGTCTCCAAAAAAAAAGAAAAAAAAGGAAAGAAAAAAAAAAAAAGAATACAGGCTTTGAATTCTGGGACTGCTGCCGTTATTTTGGACAAGTTATTTAACTTCTCTGAGCCTATTTCCTCGTTTGTAAAATGAGAATGATGAAAGAAATTACCAACCACCAAAGAAATTCAATGGGGAATGATATGTCCTATCAACAAATGAGACTGAAACAACTACATCTCTATGTGGAGAAAAATCACCCTTGTTCTTTACTTCACACCATATACAAAAATTAATTTGAGATGAATCATACATAACCTTAAATACAACAACTTAAACTATAATGCCTACAGAAGAACACAGGATTTTGAGATAGTCACATATTCTCAGGCCACAGAAAGTGCTAACCATGGAAGAAAAAATTGTTTAAGTTGGACTTAATCAAAATTAAAAGCATGTGCTCATCAAAAGACCACTATGAAAATGAATACACAAGCTGCAATCTGGGGGAGGACTGGCAGTTTCTTATCAAGTTGATCATTTGCCTCTTTTATGACCCAAGAATCCCACTCATAGGTATTTACCCAGGATAAATGAAAATGCAAGTCCACAAATAGAATTGTACACAATGTTCTTTTTTTTTTTTTTTGAGATGGAGTCTTGCTCTGTCTCCCAGGCTGGAGTGTGCAGTGGTGCGATCTTAGCTCACTGCAACCTCCACCTCCTGGGTTCAAGTGATTCTCCTGCCTCAGCCTCCTGAGTAGCTGGGCTTACAGGCGTGTGCTGCCATGCCCGGATAATTTTTTTTTTTTTTTTTGTATTTTTGGTAGAGACAGGGTTTCACCATGTTGGCCAGGCTGGTCTCGAACTCCTGACCTCAGGTGATCCACCCGCCTTGGCCTTCCAAAGTGCTGGAATTACAAGCTCGAGCCACCACACCCAGCCTATACGATGTTCATGGCAGTGTTATTCATGGTATCCCCAAATTGCAAATAACCCAAATATCCTTCAGTGAGTGAATGGGGATAAATTGGTATTATTCACAAATAAAGTATTACTCTGCATTAAAAAAGAAAAAAACTGTTTATATCCATATGGATGAATCTCAGAAACATTATGCTGAATGAAAGAAGCCAGACACAAGAATACATAATGTGTGATTCCATTTATTTGGAGTTCTAGAACAGGCAAAACTAATCTCTGAGAGTTACACAGTTGCTACGGGAATGTGGGGATTGAATGGGAATGCATATGAGCAAACTTTCTGAGGTGATAGGGCAGGTTACACTCATATGTGCATTTCTCAAAACTCATCGAGCTCTATACTCAAGATGTGGACATTTCAGTCTACCTCAGTAAAATAAATAAAAAGAAACAATATGACAGGTTGGTTTTGAGAGTTAAATAAGGAAGTAACTTATACAAGATAAATGGCACAGTGCCTAGCACATAGTAAGTGCTCAGTGAATGGTGGCTTATTACTATTACTAACAGTATCCCTGGACGATGACGCTCTTGCTTGTTGGAATGTGTTTCTGCAGGTGGAATGAAGTAACGCGAAGAATAGAAATGTGGATCTCCATATTAGAATTGAATGAGTTAGGAGAGTATGCTGCAGTGGAACTTCATCAGGCAAAAGATGTCAACACAGGAGGCATCTTTCAACTTAGACAGGTACTGAGTTTGTTTTGGGTTTTTTTTTAATGTTTTCTCTCTGTTCCACTCTTACACATTGTTTCTGGGGATTTTCTAACTATTTGTATCTTTATTCTCTAATCCTTTTCCCCTTCTTTATCCCGTTCCTTTTCATTATCATTCCTGGCACCCATACTCCTCCCCACCCTCTTCAGGGTCATTCCCGTAGAGTACAAGTCACGGTGAAACCTGTGCAGCATTCAGGGACACTGCCACTTATGGTTGAAGCCATCCTGTCAGTATCCATCGGCTGTGTAACTGCCAGGTCCACCAAACTCCAAAGAGGGCTGGACAGTTACCAGGTAAGACAAGCAGACTTAAAATAGTATTTAACAAAGCTTGGTTAATGCAGGTCCCAGGGGGACCTCTTTGCCAATATAACAGAACTCTTTGCCTTAACCGTAGATCTTCCCCCAGTTCACATTTCCATCCATTGCCTTTTTTCTAGCTTTAAAATCTGTTTGCTTAGTGTCAGTTAATAATAATTTTATTTATAAACACACGCATCCTAATGCTATAGTAGTCATTAACTTTAGGCAGATTTTATTTTATATCTGGCCCAAAATATGTTGTATCTTTGGCATTACTGCCTGACCTGATCCACTTTTTGGGTTTTTTTGTGTGTGTTTTTTTTTTAAAAGATAGGGTTTTGCTTTGTTGCCAGGTTGGAGTACAGTGGTGTGATCATGGCTCACTGCAGCCTTGACCTCCTGGGCTCAAACAGTCCTCCCACCTTAGCTTCTGAAGTAGCTGGGACTACAAGCACACATCACCACGCCCAGCTGATTCTTTTATTTTTTGTAGAGAAGGGCATGTCATTCTGTTGCCCACACTGGTCTCAAATTCCTGGACTCAAGTGATCCTCCTGCCTCAGCCTCCCAAAGTGTAGGGATTACAGGCATGAGCCACCGCACCTGGCCACTTTTATTTATAGTGTAAAATTATTTTCATACACTGTCATAATAAACCAGTTCTTTGAAAGCTTTACTTCTTTTTTTGTTAAAATTTGTCCTTATGATCATTTTTGCTCATTAAATCTTCATTTTCTAAACATTCTCATTTTAAAAATAAAAAGATGAAAACCTCTAAGAATTGATCTAAGAATTGATCGTATTATCAGTCAGAACTATTCAGTACTCCATGAAAAGAATCTCTAAAATTAGGAACTTGGCCAGGCGCGGTTGCTCATGCCTGTAATCCCAGCACTTTGGGAGGCTGAGGTGGGAGGATCACTTGAGCCCAGGAGTTCGAGACCAGCCTGACCAACATGGCAAAACGCCGTCTCTACTAAAAATACAGAAAATTAGCCAGGTGTCGTGGTGCATGACTGTCATCTCAGCTATTCAGGAGGCTGAGGCATGACAGTCATTTGAACCCAGGAGGCAGAGGCTGCAAGTGAGCCAAGATCATACCACTGCACTCCAGCCTGGGTGACAGAGGAAGGCTGTCTCAAAAAAAATAAAATTAGGATCTTGTCCCCCAGTAGCCTAAAAAAAAATGTGTGTGCTTCATTGAGTCCCCAGTTTACTACCAGATATGAATTAGGAACTGGGAAGAATCACTGTTAAATCTGCCTCCCTCACCGTCATATGTGATCGGGAGCACTCTCCCTATCGTGCCGAGGAGAAAACATTTCTCTATGGAGTCTGAGTGTAAGCCCAGCCAATCTTGAGGATGTTTTCTCTTCTATCTTAGTTTCCTTTTGGCTTCCTGGCTTTCAGGCAAAGTCTCTTCTGAAAGCTGAAAGTCAGTGCACAGACTATTGAACTTCAAGGCAGTAATAGCTTTGTCAGATGCTGCCTGCCTTCTTCAAGCCCAAAATTCCCTCTAGCTCGGAACATCTGTCCACACTTCATTCAGAGTATGAGTGTAGGTGCAAGGACAGGGCTGCTGTGGTTTGGTAGGCTTCTCCACCAGACTTTTCCTTGTGTGTGTGCAGCCCGTGGAGCAGGAAATGGGATTGTAGGTATTCTCATAGCAGTTCAGTCCTTCACTTAGCCATCAACTTCTACGTGGCTGCACGGTCGAAAGAGAACACTAGACTGGGAGTCAGGAAACCTGGGTTCTTAAGTCTAGTTGAGCTTTACTAAATGGTTATCTTGGCTGGAAAATTTAAACTTTGAGTTCCCCTTTTCTCCAAACTGATGAAGTAGACTTAATAATCCTCTGAGGTCCCTGTCCACAATAAAATTTTGTGGCTTAATAAATCTCTGGTGTTCAATAAAAACATCGGCTGTGTGCTCCAAACTGTGACCTGCAGTATAAGTATATGGGTCATCAACTAACTAAATGTTCTCATTTGAGGAACATTCCAAGGATCAACTATTTGCTGCTTTTTTTTTTTTTTTTTTTTTGAGTCTCACTCTGTCCCCTAGGCTGGAGTGCAATGGTGCAATCTTGGCTCACTGTAACCTCTGCCTCCTGGGTTCGAGCGATTCTCCTGCCTCAGTCTCCAGAGTAGCTGGGATTACGGGCACCTGCCAACGCACCTGTCTAATTTTTGTATTTTTAGTAGAGATAGGGGTTTCATCATGTTGGCCAGGCTGGCCTTGAACTCCTGACCTCATGATCCACCCACCTCGACCTCCCAAAGTGCTGGGATTACAGGCGTGAGCCACTGCGCTCAGTACTTTTTTTTTTTTTTTTTTTGAGACAGAGTCTCTCTCTCTGTCACCCAGGCTGGAGTGTGGTGGCACAATCTCGGCTCACTGCATCTTCCATCTCCCTGGTTCAAGTGATTCTCTTGCCTCAGCCTCCCGAGTAGCTGGGATTACAGGCCCGCACCACCACACCCAGCTAATTTTTGTATTTTTAGTAGAGACGGGTTTCACCATGTTGGCCAGGCTGGTCTTGCATTCCTCACCTCAAATGATCCGCCTGCCTGGTCCTCCCAAAGTACTGGGATTACACGTGTGAGCCACCACACCCAGCAACTGTTCACATTTTTTAAAAAACAGCTCTACCTCTGAGTTAAAACTGATTTTTGTCAAATTGTAAACTTTAAAATATTAGCCTTTCCCCAGTGCTATGTGCTCTTTAAGAGCATAGTGCTTAAAATTTGGACTGTAACTATTTTAAAGGCTTTTTTTTTCTTTGCTGCCATGTTCCAGGTCACGTCTGTTAAGTGTTTTTGTTGTTGTCACAGTGTTTTAGAATTATTCTGATGCAAAAAAAAAAAAAAGAATTATTCTCATGCAGTAGCTGAAACCAATGCAGAATATGCTGGTTTTGCAACAATTTCATGTCATGAATGCTTAGGCCAATTTTCAGTTAATAGAACTACCTCCATAGTTTAAAAAGTTATGATAAATTAGAGCCATTTGTTCTTTTACATTAATAGGAAGCATTAGTTCAAGATAAATTACTTCAGGATTAGGATTACATTTAATAAGTTAGTCATATAACTGATAATGGTGGTTACCAAACTAAAAAAAAAAAAAAAGCAGTTCATTTTGAAGTATATATGAAAATAATTTTGACTATATTCTTAAAGCACTTTTTAGTCATAAATCTAAATTAAGGGATTCTAGGTTCTCGTTTATAAGGAAAATTTTTTTCTACCAAGACCCTTTTGTTTTCAACGTGATTACTTTGTTTTGCCAAATGTTTTTGCAAAAATTGTTACTTTGTTTATTTATTTTACAATGTTGCCCTGTGTTTGGGACAGTTATGATTCTTTCAAGTGATTGTTATGGTCAATAGAGAGTACTGACCAATCCTTATATTCCAAATAGTATGCTATTGCTTTTATTTCAACAGTGTAGTACAGACCCTTGTATGTATATAGCCTGAGGTTGCCCCAGCTTTCCCCTGGGATGATTGCATCAGGGAAGACAGCTGAGGTTGGAGACCTCAGACATGGCTTACAGTTCTGACCTGCCATTATCTGTGTGGTCCTAAGGTTAAATCATTTCATCCTTTAAGGCTTAAAGGATGTTTGCCTCATTGCTCAAACTGAGATTGGGCAAGAGAATGTTCCCTGTAGTTTTGCCACTCTGTCTTCCTAAGCCTATCTCAAATCTCAGTCAAATAGTCTACCCCAAAATACATATCAGCTGTCTGTATGACAGTGGTATAAGGCCTGGCCCAATTATGTTGGTTCCTATCTCCAGCTAAGAGATTTCTTATTTTTATTTTATGTTTTTGGAGACAAGGTCTTGCTCTGTTGCCCAGGCTGAGGTGGAGTGGTGTAATCAGAGCTCACTGCAGCCTCCATCTCCTCCGCTCAAGTGATCCTCCCACTTTAGTCTCCCAAGTAGCTGGGAATACAGTTGCACACTACCAAATCCAGCTAATTTTTTAAAATTTTTTGTACAGATGGGGTCTTGCTATTGTTGCCCAGGCGGGTCTCAAACTTCTAGCTTCAAGAGATCCTCCTGCCTCAGCCTCCCAAAGTGTTGGGATTACGGGCATGAGCCCAGCCAAGTTTTTATGTTTCAATGACTCTTTATGTGAAAAATTCTTTATAGACAAGTGAATTAAATCCATTTTACCTTTTTTGAGATTCAATTTAGTGTTTTATTTTGCTTATGTTAGGTAAGCTGTCCATTTTAATGTGTGTTAAGCTTAAATAATTATTTTCCCTGTATGTGGTTTGAAAAACAAAATGCTTGTCCTTTGTGTTTATTTTTTCCTACCAGAGAGATGATGAGGATGGTGATGATATGGATAGTTATCAGGTATTGCTACTGCTGTCAATCCTGTGGCATGGGGCACAGCTACTGCTAATTGCCAGCATTCGCAAAGCAGAGGCCAGGGAGGAGGAAGGAGGGCCCTAGAGCGAGAATATGCAGTTTTTCACTTGCTTTTGATTTGCTTTATATGTATTCAAACACAATATTATTTCTATAGATGCCTTGTCAGTTCAAAATTTATAACTAAATATTGCCTTTTTGCTATGCCATCTCGATTTACTGGCTTATTGCTAAGCAAGACCATTATCACTGTATTAAAATGGATGATCTGGAGACTGATTTGAGTAATAATAAAACTCCTGTCTCCTGCAAATTAATTAACTAATTAATTAATTTAAAAAATGGATGATCTTAAAATATTGCAGTTATCCATCCATAATCTTTTAGATAGACTCTTATCTTTCCCATGCTAAAGTGCATTCTGCTCCTTACATCCAAGAGCTAATATTGTTGTAATATGCCATTTTACTTTACAAGACTTTTGCTGAATAGGAAAATTGGAGACATTTTATGCGCATAATTGTGTTTTGTTTAGCCAGCTTTCTTTTCTCATTTGGGTCACACTTAGTTCTCCATAACCTATAGAATTTAAATCTCAGCTTTTTCTGGTTGGGAATCTAGAAAAAATATATAGATGTGCAAATTGAGATTGTACCTAGTCAGCACTGACTGGCCTGATATCATGGAGTGTGGGGTTACGTACAAATAGTCAAAGCAGCAAACCAAGATGAAGCTTTCTGGGTTCGGTTCCCAGTCTTTGTACGGATTCTCCATACACATCTTCAAAGGATGTTTTCCCAGTGTGCCTTCCTACATGTAAAATGTGGGTACAGTGGCTGGGCGTGGTGGCTCACGCCTGTAATCCCAGCACTTTGGGAGGCCGAGGCAGGTGGATCACAAGGTCAGGAGTTCAAGACCAGCCTGGCCAACATGGTGAAACTCCGTCTCTACTAAAAATACAAAAATTAGCTGGGCGTGGTGGCGCGCGCCTATAATCCCAGCTACTCGGGAGGCTGAGGCAGGAGAATCGCTTAAACCTAGGAGGCAGAGGTTGCAGTGAGCCGAGATTGTGCCACTGCACTCCAGCCTGGGCGACAAGAGCGAAACTCTGTTTCGGGGAAAAAAAAATGTGGGTACACTGTTGGTAAAGTTTCAGAGGTCCAAGGGCTCTATTCTTGATGTAACGTCTTAAGTCTTAAACTAGAATTAGGCAAGTCAAAGAGCATTTTTAATAGAATTGATGGATTTTCTTTCCCTACTCATAATTCCACGAAGAAAAACCTTTAAGGGAAATATCAGTATCCCCTTGAATCTCAGCAATGCCATTGACTAACGTCCTGCGGCTGTTTGTGCGCTTCCTGGCACATTTTTCACAGTGCAGTCCAATGGCTGCCTAGGGGATTTCTTAAAGCATGGCTGACTGCATGTTGGAGTTTGCATGGGAGATTTTTGCTTAGCCTCGTGGTGGTTGGAAGTAAAATGTTTGTGGCAAGTTTGAAAAGTTCTCTGCTGACCTACTCTTTGCATTTCAGAAAATCTATGTTATCAGACCACTGAACTATGGAGCTATGAAAATGCCTGTCATTTTCCATTCCATTTGTTGTTACTTGGTTTGGGCTCTGTTCATGCTGTCCTTCTGTTTGGGATCACAAATCCTGCAATGAATAGCTACGATTTAAATATACATACACTCATTGTAAAAAAAATCTGACAGCTGGTATAGTTTGAGCTTGTCTTGCTTTTAAGTATAATTATCCTTCTGGAGATCCAGGGGCTCTGATTTCTGGGTAACAGCATCCTTGATCAACATGCAGTGTTACTGAGGCCTCTCTGCTTTCTTGCATATTAATCACACAGCAATGTTCAACAGCTTTTCCTAATGAAAAATTTCCTAGTTGATTTAAACATCTTTTAAAAAAAGAAAGAAAGAAATCGTTGTCTGTGCAGTCTACAGGAAAATATTTTCCCTCCCTGATGTTAGGAAGAAGACTTAAACTGCGTAAGGGAGAGGTGGTCAGATGCACTCATTAAACGACGAGAATACCTGGATGAACAGATAAAAAAAGTCAGCAATAAAACAGGTATGTGAGATCAAACTCTTTTATGGGGAGTAGCTTTTTCACTTTTACACAATGGCAGTAGGTCGTTTTCTTCCCCTAACTGGACAGTAGTATCTTATTTTTGTTGTTGTTGTTGTTGTTGTTTTAAGACAGGGTCTCACTCTGTCACCCAAGCTGGAGTGCAGTGGCAGGATCATATCTCACTGCAGCCTCTAACTCCTGGCCTCAAGAGATCCTCCTGCCTCAGCCTCCTGAGTAGCTGAGACCACAGGCACAAGCTACCACTCCTGGCTCATTTTTAAATGTTTTGTAGATGGGGTCTCACTTTGTTGCCCAGGCTGGTCTCAAACTCCCGGACTCAAGTGATCCTCCCACTTCAGCCTCCCAAACTGCTGGAATTGCAGGTGTTAGCCACTGCGCCCAGCCTGTTTAGTTTTGTGAACTTGTAACAATTATAGACATCAGTCAATCATATTATACATTGTTGGTTTAAGAGGCCTCCAAATTTGAAAGTAGTAAGTTTT